>NC_000010.11:7434242-7585757 GCF_000001405.40 Homo sapiens
CGCCCAAATAATTTTTGTATTTGTAGTAGAGATGGGGTTTTGCCATGTTGGCCAGGCTGATCTCGAACCCCTGACCCCAAGTGATCCGCCCGCCTCAGCCTCCTAAGGTGCTGGGATTACAGGCGTGAGCCACCGCACCCGACCTCTAACATACGTTTTCATTTTGGGATTAGAAAACATTTGCATCTCTTGCTATGTTGGACTTTGAAAGAAAGAAAGTAGGAAGCAAATGTGTTAAAAATCTACTACATTTTCCTTGTCTGTTTGTGAAAGCCAGGAGTTTTTACAAGCACTCTTTTATTGAATTCCCCCCCAAACCGTGGGAGGTAGTTATTATCGGCATTTTTACAGTTGAAGACACAAAGAGTGAGTGAGGTTTAGTAATTCACTTAAGGCCACACAGCTAGGAAAAGGCACCATCAGATGAGCTGGTGTCTTCAGGTTGGCAAAGCCCTCTTCTTTGTGAATGCAGACTGGCACTCTCCTACCCGCATGCTCCACTCCTGGGGAACCCAGGTAGGAAGGCTGGCACTGAGGAGTGGGTAAGAGAAAAGGCTAAGTAACAAACAGGATACCCAAAAAAGGCAGGAGCCAGCCTGACGAACAATCCTCCCCGAACCATACCAGTCCTATAACACTCTGTGCAGAACATCTAATATTTAGTGACTGTACTGATACCACCCTGGCACCTCCCATTCTTCAGAGAGAATGGCTGGTTGAATCAAAGGATCAAGGGAATTGGCTCAATGTGAGGGCCTCCATTGAACTTGAAAATGAAAATATGGGTTTTCGAGTTGGGGAAA
Source organism: Homo sapiens (assembly GCF_000001405.40). Classification (NCBI taxonomy): domain Eukaryota; kingdom Metazoa; phylum Chordata; class Mammalia; order Primates; family Hominidae; genus Homo; species Homo sapiens. The sequence goes on from NC_000010.11 coordinate 7,435,046, forward strand.
TAAGAATAATGGATAAAGGGATTAACATTGTTTCTTGTTAGATATTCAACTTCATAGATTTTTGATTTAAGGAAAATTGAAAGTCAGACCTATTTTTTTTTTTTTTTTTTTTTTTTGAGACAGGTTCTTGTTCTGTTGCCCAGGCTGGAATGCAGTGGCATGATCTCGGCTAATTGCAACCTCCATCTCCTGGGTTCAAGCCATTCTTGCACCTTAGCCTTCCAAGTAGTTGGGATTACAGGTGTGTGCCACCATGCCCGGGTAATTTTTCTATTTTTAGTAGAGACAGGGTTTTGCCACGTTGGCCAGGCTGGTCTTGAGCATCTGACCTCAGATGATCTGCCTGTCTCAGCCTCCCAAAGTGTTGAGATTACAGCCATGAGCCACTGCACCCAGCCCTCTTCCCTATTCTTTATTGTTGGTATATTTCAATCCATTATATATTTGCCAATAGAAGTGTTTTCTCCGTTAAACTGGAACTCATAATAGCCACCACTAATTGCAATCACATTCTCATCAGCTACTTCTGTTGGCACCTACCATGGCCCTAAGCCTAGAGGAAGAGTTGGAGGAGGAAACCTTCGGTTAGAATTACCATGGGAGGATTCAACTAGTATATGTTTTCTGTGCTCTGTGGGATATAATTTTAAAAGCATGAGTTTTGGAATCAGAAAGGCTTTTATTTATATGTTAATTAGCTAGCTAACTAATCCGAACACATGAATTCAAGATTTGCATTCTGGCTCCAAAACTAGCTATGTGGCCTTGGCAACTTTCTTTCTTTCTTTCTTTCTTTTTTTTTTTCATTTTTGCCTCTGAGTTTCACTTTCCCTGCTGAGCTGTAGAGGTGTCATCTTGGTCATTCTGGAGGCTGAGAACGGGCAAGCAGCAGTGGGCCTTGCAGGGCAGCTCCCACTGAGGAGACAGGGTGGACCAGATGGAGGGGGGTGGGGGAGGGCAGCAGGTGATATCAAGATGGAGTTTGAGATGAAAGAAGGATGAGTGGAGCAATCTGAGAAGAGTTCATTGTATAGCTGAGAAGACAAACACATATGTCAAATCCATGCAGTAAGACATGCTCCGAAAGATGAGCCTAAGAAGAGAAATAGCCTGGCGCGGTGGCTGAAGCCTGTAATCCTGGCACTTTGGGAGGCCGAGGCGGGCAGATCACGAGGTCAGTAGTTCAAGACCAGCCTGACCAACATGGTGAAACCCCCTCTCTACTAAAAATACAAAAATTGGCTGGACATGGTGGTGTGTGTCTGTAATCTCAGCTACTCAGGAGGCTGAGGCAGGAGAATCACTTGAACCCAGGAGGCGGAAGTTGCGGTGAGCCAAGATCACACTACTGCACTCAAACCTGGGCAACAAAGCGAGACTCCATCTCAAAAAAAAAAAAAAAAAGGGAGAGAAACAAGGGCAGAACAAGTTTTGCTATTGCTAGGACTAGTGCAGTAGCTTAAGGCGATGTTGGTAGGCAAGGCAGACTACAGAATTTGATAACGCAAAGGAATGTAGCCTGGATTTTTATAGTAGACTCTCCCAACTCTTTCTTCCACTTTTTCTTCCTCTTTTTTCCCCTTTCCACTTCCTATAAAATAGGATCAGTTGCTGACACAAGCTGCTAAAACTCCATCTGACCCAACTGCATTGCTTTCAAATGATGAGTCATTAAGTCACTGATATTTCTAGAGGGATGCTCTAAATCCAAATGCTGCCAGATGTCCCTTCCACTCAAAATGACTCGCTGTTCATTTGTGCACATTTTGAATTTTTGAGAGTGGTCTTATCTGTAAAGATTTATTCAAGGGTGGAAATCAAAGCTAGGTTAATTTTTGACACAGGAAGCCACCTTTTAAGGAAATGACTGTTTCAATCATTTTAAATCCCTGCCACATTTTCTGAAGCTCAGTTTCTATCATGAAAAAGCAGAATTAAGTGGCATGACTGAAGGTGACCCTGACAGTATTTTTTCTCTGACATGCAATCATTTATATCAATGTCATTGTATGTGCCTTCTGCTGTTAATGCCTCCCCTGCCTCCCCCAATATTATAAATCACCCAAGACCTCAGAGTACTTCCCTTGGAAGCTTGCACCAAGTCTCCTATTGCTTTAACCATTAATACATAGTTCCCACTTGGATGAGCCCCTTCCATTGCTCCAGACTATCTCTGGGACAGTCCTGCTCCACCATTGACTGGGAGGTGGCTCAGGAATGCCTGGACGTGGCCACCACAGACCAAAACTTGGGGTAGGACCAGCTATTTACAGCATAGACTTCAATGCCTTCCAAACCCAAGGTTCGGGTTCCTGCATGCACAGTACTGCGTTGAGAAGATCCAAGGCATTGGAGACGGGACAGATCTGCAGCGGACACATACTAGAAACTTACTTCTTAAAGAGTTTTCCCATTTGGAACATGGGGATAATAATCCCAACCATACAGTATTGTGAGAATTCACAAAGACACCACATGAAAGCTCTTGTCACATCATAGCCACCTAATAACTAGTGTGAACAGACACAATAGCTAATATTTATGAAGCACCTAATAAAGTCTGGGCACTGAAGTATGTGTTTTATGGACATTATCTTTTTTTGTTCCTCTCAACAACCTGAAAGACGGGGTATCATTATACTCATTTGACCGACCGGGAAAAGAAGCACAGAGAGGTGGCAGGACTTATTCAGGGTCCCATAGATGCTGAGTGGTAGATGAGAATTCAAATCCAACCCAGGTTTGTGTAAGACTCCTATGTTTTAGTTAACTAGATCAGGAATAAGCCCACAGGAACCATGAGATTATAAATGACTTAGAGCTTCATCGAGAAAGCTGCCATATGTTTATTATCAATAAAAACAAATATTTTTATCTATAAGTAAAGGGGCATTAACTCGAATTACCAAAGCCACTGGGCTTTTTTTTCCAGACCCTATTTTTCTGAACCTCATTAATTCCAATTTTAAATTATTATTATTATTTTTTTGAGACCGAGTCTTGCCCTGTCACCCCGGCTGGCATGCAGTGGTGTGATCTCTGCTCACTGCAAACTCTGCCTCCCAGGTTCAAGTGATTCTTCTGCCTCAGCCTCCTGAGTAGCTGGGATTATGGGCCTGCGCTTCCAAGCCCAGCTAATTAATTCCAATTTTAGCAAGCTACATTGAAGTATCAAAATAGCACCCGGATGAATGTAGCGGAATCAGCCCAGAGGAAGGTGGAGGTGGTTTGGGGAGAAGGTACTAATCCATGCAATAAAAGCCAGCACATCGTTTGGGGCTCTTATCTCTGTTCGGATCATGACATAACCATTGCCTGTCATCCAGAACACTATCACTTGCAGGCCGCGCCAAGATTCAATCTCCAACTCCACTTTTAATAGCTGTTGTCAGCTTGTTGCTAGAGAAATTATACTTAATTACGTGAGTAATGTGGTGGGTGTTTGTGTGTGCATTTTTTTTAAGAAGAAATGGCTTAAGCAAACTGCATGGGGCCTGGGATGGGTGCAGACTGAGAGGGAGACGTGGTATCGACTAGGAGAGGGAGAACTTCCTGTGAAAAATAGGAAGTTTAATGAGACGAAAATAGAATGAGTGTGATAAAAAGCGGCGCAAGGGAACGGATCAGGGACAGAGCGTCTCCCGTGTCTGTGTGTTTAAGGGTGTTAGGGATTGCCATCAATTGAGATCGTGTAATGCACTGTCTACTTGGACCTAATGTCCACTGTATGCAGTGCTGAGAGCTACAGCAATTGAAAGATAATAAGAGGAAAATGAGTAATGAATCCGTTTTATTGTATGCTGTAAATGGCCTCCATTGAAACAGTCTGTGTTTAGACTGGTAATAAAAATGAGTGATGAAGGCAGACGTTTAACATGGGAATTGGTTCAAGCAAGAAACATATTTTCTCGTTGTTTTTTTTTTAAGCCTCACAAATAATTTGGTTTATGAAGTAACTTCTTGCTTGGAAACTTTATGTAACTACTGCACAGTTTTTATAAGCCTTGGCAAGGGGTGTGTGTGTGTGTGTGTGTGTGTGTGTGTTTCTCATTTTGTGGCTTGAAACGTTGGCAAGGGCTATCACAGTAGCCAAGGAAGTTTGAATTTTATTTGTTAATTTGTCATATGTGGACCTTTGTCTCTCCACTGGGCAAACACAGGAGCCCCAGGAAGGACCATGTTCACAAAACATGGGGCGCTTCTTAGATATCGAGGATTCTGCCGATGGGGAGATCTATTCATCAAATACTCAAACTAGCCTTGTCTAAGCCCTGGAATTATTAACCCAACAGTGTATCAGCTCCTCTTCCTTTTCTTTATTTTTATTTCTTATTTTGAGACAGGATCTTGCTCTGTCACCTAGGCTGGAGTGTAGTGGTGCAATCTCATCTCACGGCAGCCTCAGCTTCCTGGGCTCAAGTGATTCTCCCTCCTCAGCCCCTCACCAAGCAGCTGGGACTACAGGTGCACGCCACCACACTCGGCTCATCTTTAAACTTTTTGTAGAACTGTTGCCCAGGTTGGTCTTGAACTCCTGGGCTGAAGTGATCCTCCTGCCTCAGACTCCCAAAGTGTTGGGGTTACAGGTGTGAGCCACCGCCCCCAGCCTTGCAGTTTCTCCTTCTCATTTGCCCTCCAACTAAAAGAAAAAATCTGACTGGGCACAGTGCCTCAAGTCTGTCATTCCAGAGCTTTGGGAGGCCAAGGCAGGAGTAGCACACTACTACAGCCGTAAGGAAACAAAACAAAATAGCGGTGACCCTCTTCTCTAACCTGGTCAGAAAATGAGACATTCTTAGTAATTACACATGGAGCACATTGATATACTTAGGTGTGGCATTCTGTGGGTTACTAATTTGCAGCAGTTAGAACGTGGAGTCCCTGGGTCGAGTGATACACGGCCAGCAGTGTGAGTGCTGGGGAGAGCAGAGGCAGAAGGCAGAATAGATAGCAGGGGGCAAGGCCAGTGGGCAGAGACACGGCCGACCCTGAAGCATCCCATGCCTCAGTTTCCTCCTGCATACAGGAAGGTTAGATAATTGCATAGGAATTTTCAGGTTCTAAAATGTGTGCAGAACCTAAACACAGTAAAATACTGCACAAAGACATTTAAAGACTAGGGAGGGTCGAAGTCAATCTTTCAATCATACATTTCATCAAAAACATTCTTTCAGGCTGGGCACAGTGGTTCACCCCTATAGTCTCAGCACTTTGGGAGGCCGAGGTGGTAGGATAGCTTGAGGCCAGGAGTTCTAGACCAGCCTGAGCAACACAGTGAGACCCCAAATGTACAAGAAATAAAAATAAAACAAATTAAGCCTGGCATGGTGGCACATGCCTGTAGTCCCAGCTACTTGGGAGGCTGAGGTGGGAGGATTGCTTGTGTACGAGGCTGCAATGAGCCATGATCACACCACTGCACTCCAGCCTGGGTGACCCTATCTCTAAAAAAAAATTGTTTTTAATGAAAAAAAATATGATTTACTATTTTTAACCCATCATAGTTTAAGAGTCTGGACATAGGACTAGCTCATTGTTTGGAAACCTAGTATATGCCTGGCACCCTTAACACAACCCTTCCAGCAACCCTGCGAGGTGGGTCCTTTTATCCTCATTTTAAGAATCAGAAATGGAAGACTTAGGGAAGCCTAATGACTTGTCCACTAATAAGTGACAGAACCTGGAACTCAAAGCTGAGTTCAATGGACTCTAGAGGCTCATGTTCTTTCCAGGGCACTGTCGCTCAGAGTGAGGTGTACTGCCCAAGTCATGGTAATGCCTGGCGTTCGCCACCTGATAGAAGCAACAACAACAATGAACACACCTCTGCCCAGGCAAGGTGGCTCACGCCTGGAATCCCAGCACTTTGGGAGGCTGAGGTGGGCGGATCACCTGAGGTCAGGAGTTCCAGACCAGCCTGGCCAACTTGGTGAAACCCCGTCTCTACTAAAAATACAAAAATTAGCCAGGCATGGTGGTGCACACCTGTAATCCCAGCTACTCGGGAGGCTGAAGCAGAAGAATCACTTGAACCCAGGAGGAGGAGGTTGCAGTGAGCAGAGACGGCGCCCCTGCACTCCAGCCTGGGTGACAGAGCTAGAATCTGTCTCAAAAACAGAAAACAAAAAACAAAAACAAAACAAAAAATCACCTGTGGGTGTAGGAGATGGCACGGCTGTCTGCAACAGGCTGGGAATAGAGAAGGCTGCACTTCCACACTACCCTGGGATGTTTTCTTGTCTCAATTCCTCAGACCTTGGCTCCAACCTCTAAAGCAAATTGCCTGGGTTGCTTTTGCAGTGGAAAAGCACCGGCACCCATTCCAGACGAAACTCTGATTAGGAAGAAAGGGAAGAGTTTGTAAAATGGGACGAAGATGAAATTGGAACAGAGCCTGGGAAAAGGAGATTATGGGGACCCTCCCTCCAGCCTCCCAGCCCCAGCTGTGCAGTGATCCATCAGGGGCTGAGCAGTGCAATTTATGCTTTCAGTCCACAGGAGCATCCAGGGAAAATGGAGGGGGTGGCAGGGAAGAAAAATGACCTTTTTGCTCTTCCCATGTTGCTCCGGCTTTCAGATCGCGCCTGCAATATCCTTGGCTTATTTGTGCCGCGTGGAACTGTTAGCAATCACAAGAGAACGACAGGATCAGTGGGGGAGATTCCAGCCAAGGTTTGCATCCAACCACAACTCAAATTAGTCCTTTTGAAAAATGGGTTCCCACCTGAAAGCAAAAATCAAAACACAAGAAAAAAAATCCTCATTGTTTCAGGTATCTGCAGTCCACTGAGCACTTTAGTCTTTTAGAAACCAAAGCTCCATAAGCTGCTGGAACACCTTCTACAGATTAACTGTGGCTTTCCTGTGTGCGTAGAACAGCACTCATTCCAGGATTCCCCATAATGTGTAAAATATTAACGTGATAAACTGGAAATGAAATAACACCACACCTGGGGACCATCGATCATAGCCAAACAGTAGACCTGCAGGGAGACTTCTCGAGGATTGGAGGTGGAGTTTCAGAATCAGCAGCACAAAATCCAAACACTTGGTCTGGCCCCGATGGCCAAGGGAGCATGCAGGACACTTCTTTGTATCTCACTGTATAGTAGGCGTGGTTAGTGCCTCTGGATCCAGGATCTGGGGACCACCCGTCATCTTGGCGTGTTGAATCAACGCCTTGCTTCAAATGCACAGTGACTCGAGTTTGTTACTGTATTCCCCGTCTGATTCCCTGCCCCGTCTCCAGGCCCAGGCAGTGACCAGAGCTCCATGTATTCAGATGCTCTAAAGGAAACACATGTTTGAGTTGCAAGCAGGTGTTTTGCCTCCCTGTCATTGTTCTTCCCATTTAAGCTTTTCTGGAACTGCTCAATGAGCTTGCAGCTTGGGCAGCCCTTGAATTTGAGAGAGGAAGGTGGAGCGGCTATAGGGAGTGGGGAGGTCACAGAGGAGCACACCTCATTGAGGGAACCCAGCCTGAGATTCAGACTTGGTAAGTCAGCACAGGAAACAGCAGGCTGGAGAGGAGCTGGGTGCCATGACACACAAAAGGAGGAAATACCTGGGGTCCGAGTGCACTCCCACGTAAAGCTTCAATCACGCCGTGTAGACAGCTGACTCTGTGACGAGCCATGAGCCAGCTCATCCACGGGCCGTGTATGTTCCACGGCCACACAATCCATGATTGATTTTCCCTACAGAGTCCGAGGGAGAATTCAGTATAAAAATACCCTGTTCAACAAACAAGTCAAACGACCGGAAAGGGAGATGAACTGGAGGCCGAGGCGCACCCGATGGGTTAGGCAAGCCATTTGCAAGCTGAATGTGCCATGCACTCAGCCACTCTGCAGTTCTCTGCAGAGGTAGGAATTGGAATCCAAGATGTGGGGACCTCCCCACCCCATAAAATGGGTCATTTTGAAATCTTGGTCTTAATTTTTAATATGGTAAATATCAACACACATACAAGAAAAACGCTAGGATTGTCAATAATGTTTTATGAATTTAAAGGTGACACAAACCAAAATGCTTGAAAATCACTGAAAAATGACTCTTTTTCCTTGAAAAACAAAAGCAATTACAGTTTGTATTTCTCTGTCACTATTATTCCTAGTATAGTTGTAACCACTTATGTTAATCATCACTTTTCATCACAGTAAGTTCTATTTCATAAAGGAAACTGGAAGCAGGGGTGGACTGTTGAGGGATGTCATATACCAGTGTTTTCTACTGGAAAATGGGTAATTTTAAAAAAACATTTTCTGAGTAAATAGTTACATAACCTGAAATGTAAAACTGTTTTAATTCCTATTCTTACTTTACATGCTTATATTCATAACTTACACTGAATCTTTCTTTTTATTCCCCTTGAACTCTTATTTTTGTATTTTTCTATCAAAACACACCATAACTTTTGTCTGGATTATCACAGTGCTCCAGTTATCCCAGTATCCAGAGCCTCCTAGCCTCTGAATGCCACTTCTTAAGTAGGAAGGAGCAAGTGGCAGAAGCATGTTTCTGATTCTAAATTCTAAAGTAGTGGTCTCCGATTTTTTTTTGTTTTGTTTTGGAGACAGGGTCTTTTCCTGTCACCCAAGGCTGAAGTGTGGTGGGATGATCATAACCCACTGCAGCCTTAAACTCCTGGGCTCAAGTGATCCACCTACCTCAGCCTCCCAAGCAGCTGAAACTACAGGCACGTATCACCCTGCCTGGCTAATGTTTCAATTTTTTTTTTTTTTTTTTTGAGATGGCGTTTTGCTCTTGTTGCCCAGGCTGGAGTGCAATGGTGTGATCTTGGCTCACTGCACCCTCTGCCTCCCAGGTTCAAGTGATTCTCCTGCCTCAGCCTCCCGAGTAGCTGGGATTACAGGCATGCACCATCACACCTGGCTAATTTTGTATTTTCAGTAGAGACAGGGTTACTCCATGTTGGTCAGGGGGTTCACGAACTCCGACCTTGGGTGATCCACCTGCCTTAGCCTCCCAAAGTACTGGGATTACAGGCATGAGCCACCACACCCGACCTAGTGCTTTAATTTTTGTTTTTGTTTTTTTTTTGTAAAGACAGGGGTCTTCCTATGTTGCATAGATTGATCTCAAACTTCTGGCCTCAAGCAATCCTCCTGCTTTAGCCTCCCAATGTGCTGGGATTACAGGCCCGAGCCACCACACCAAAAATTTTTATTGCCTCATATCTCTACCTGTAAAAAAATAATAAAATAAAAATAATCAAGCCTAAACTCCCCATTAAATTCATAATTATTTATTTAAAGAGAATGACCATGCACTATTGTATGAATATAGTAGATACATTATAAAACATCCAGAAAAATGGGGGGAGGGAATTTTAAAGGAGAGGAAAATAAGCTTAATTGGAAGCTCCCAAGTTTTCCCCACATCATTTAATTGAATCAGAAATCCCATTTTTGAAAACCATTTGATCCAATGAAAAGGAAGGATGACTTAATGAAAGCATCCTTTGTGTTTGATAGGAGAGGCTTTTTCCATTGTATTTCTTGCCAAACACACAAACAAGCCAAGAACACAGAACAGCTCCCCAAGAAGCTAGCTTCCCTATTTCTGTTCTAAGATGTATTTAAACCAGCTTTGCTGCTACCAGTTCACTTTCTGTGGCAGAGAAAGCTGCCAGAGTTTCCTGGCTTTGTCCCTTAGTGGCCTCTCTACCGGGTGGGGCTGTGGACAGACTCAGCAGAGCATTTATTGCGGCGGCTTTGCAGCAGCCGTTTCTAAGGAGATGGTGCCTGAGCCCCATGCAGAACGCCATCCCTTCCTTTCCCCCCGATTTGTTTCTGCCTAATTGAACTCCCGCTGGCTGTGTTCCAGCACAGTTCTGTTTCACCTACTGATAAATGGTCGTTCACTTTCCAGTTTCAGAACTCAGCTAACCCCTGGAATGAACCACGGTTCATCTTCACGGTGTCCTCAGTGCAGAGCGCCGTGCATCAGACGATCGATGCGTATTCGCAGCAAATTGGCCATTCAGCAGTGCCGTGCAGGAACCTCGGAGGCACAGATACGGAACAGCTTTTCTGACAATGTCATGGCCTTCCCCAGACTCACTGGGGAACCTTATTTGAAGTTTTAAGAAAAAGAACTTGGACTTTCTTACAGCTTCTTGCTAAAGTTCAGGAGTTCTAAATGATTACCCCAGAGAACCCATCAGATAACTATGTCTCCAACTAAATGAATAAGATGAAATTTGACACAAAATAAATACAGGCACCTATCTGTCCATGGGTCATTTGGGGAAAACCAGAAACATGTATTTAATGCATGTCTCTGAACTTACATACTTCCAGTCATCAAAGTAACTAAAGCTTATAGAACAAGCAATTCCACGGATGATCTAAGCCCATCCTGCGCTGGACACCTCTGAGAAAGTGAATTAGCATTAGGATTATTGCAGAGAGATAAGAATCTAAGTAAGTCTAAAATGTGGAACATGCTGCTTATATTTAATTTTGTTTTGTATTTTCCTTTCTTCTCTTCTAATTAGGTGATTTTAGAGGAATAAACACCCTTAGCCGTCAGCCAACATTTTACAAATGAAGGCCAGCAAGGGAAAGGAGCTCACTGAAGGCCCATGCTCATTAATGAGGAAGCAAAAACAACAGCACACAGCCTCTGTTCCCAGGGCCACGCTCCTCGATTTCTAAGCGCTGTTCCAGTTCACACAGGACAAGACATCCTTTTTTCTTCTAGAACAACAGCTCAGCCCCACCTGAAAGAAAAAGTTCATTGATACTTTTTCAAAGGCTTCACAACTCAGCTTTTTTGGAGACTTCAGCAAAATAAGTCATTATCTGGCCAACTTTAAGAATGAGGTTTGCTAAATGTATCAGCATTCTGAGGTTATCAGAAGACTCTGCACACTTGCATATCTCACAAATACCGTCAATAAATACATAGTTTCATTTCCTCATTGATTCACACATTGCTTTTCCTATGTGAAATGCTTCATAACAGGCTCAATATGAATATTCAAAAAGAATGTGATGTGGTCTGCCATGAATATAAGTCAGTAAGTAATAAACATTGCTAAATGTCCTATTCCGTAACGTAGTGATAACCTACTCCCTCTATTTAGGAAAATCACATGGTCCTTGACTTCTTTTTGGAGGACAGAGTCTCACTCTCTCATCCAGGCTGGAGTGCAGTGGCACAATCCCAGTTCACTGTAGCCTCAACCTCCTGGGCTCAAGTGATCCTCCCATCTCAGCCTCTTGAGTAAATGTGACCACACGTACACACCATCACGCTCGGCATTTTTTTTTTTTTTTGTCTTGTAGAGACAGGGTCTTACCATGTTGTCCAGGCTGGTCTCAAACTCCTGGGCTCAAGTGATCCACCCACCTCAGCCTCCCAAAGTGCTAAGATTACAGGCATGAGCCATTGCACCTGAACAGTCCTTGATTTTTAAAAAATTCAAATAATAATACAGTTTAAAATGAAAAGCAAACCCCTTTTGTCTCAGAGTCCTAGTTCCACTCCTCAGCAGTTCCTGGTGTACCTTCCAGATACTGTCCCTGCGGACACACAATACAAATGGGGACACAGAAATCACATTATTCTATGTCTTGATTTGTATGCCTGGTGATACACCTCGACAATCTCTCTGTATCAGCACACACAGCTCTATTCGTTTCCTTCCAGTTCTGGAGCACTCCACTGGAATGACGTGCTATACATTTTGAACCAGCCTCGATTATGGATATTCGAGTTATTTTCAGTTACTGTTCTTGCTGTGGCAAACAATGCAGCAATGGCTTTGCTTTTACATACGTCTTTATGCGCATTTTCAGCATATCTGCAGAATAAATTCCTAAAACTGAAATTGCTGGATCAAAGGGCGTATTCATTTTCTAATTTCGTTAGATATCACCAAATAACACTCTATCTTAACACGAAACAAACACTTGCAAGGATGCTGTGCTAATTTACACTCTCATCTACCGTGCACTTGAGTGTTGGTTTCTCATGCCCTTGCTAGCACCTAACTTTGTCAAGGTGATTGGTAAAAAAACCGTGTCTCAGTTCCATTTGTAGTTCTTAATTGTCAGCATGTTAGAGCATCTTTTCATCTTGGAACTCTGTATATAATGATTTTTATGTTACCTACCTGCCTTTGTCCATTTGTTTTTTATTATTTATAAAAATCTCTTAATAGGTTTTATAAGATAATCTTTATCTTTTGCATTGCAAATTTTTTTCTCAGTTTGTCATATGGCTTTATTATGTTTTACCATATTCAAGTTTAATATATATATATTTTATTCATTTATTTATTTATTTATTTTTGAAATGGGGTCTCACTGTGTTGCCGAGGCTAGAGTGCAGTGGCACAATCTCGGCTCACTGCAACCTCCACCTTCTGGTTCAAGCGATTCTCCTGCCTCAGCTTCCAGAGTAACTGGGACTACAGGTGTATGTCACCATGCCCAGCTAATTTTTGTATTTTTATCATGTTGGCCAGGCTGGTCTCAAACTCTTGACCTCAAGTGATCCACCCACTTTGGCCTCCCAAAGTGCTGGGATTACAGGTATGAGTCACCGTGCCTCGCCAAATTTAAGATAAATATATATATAGATATATATATAACATATATATACAGAGAGAGAGAAAGGGAGAAAAAGATAGAGGTTGATTAATTTTTTTATAGCTTCTGAGGTTTGTGTATTGCTCTGAAATGACTTTTTTTGTCCCAAGATTTTTTTTTAAATCTCCCATATTTTCTTCTAGTGATTTTATGTGGGTTTTTTTTTTTTTTAAGTTTAAATGTTTGGTTCAGACTTTCACTTCATAAGAGCATGAAAGCATTTTGTTCCCATGGTAATGTCAAGAAAAACTCAGAGAAAATAAAAATCATACTTTCCCATGGGGCTAACAAAGATCAGGAGTCAAAAGAAGACTTAATGAACTGAATTTTGGAAAAATGAGTCCTTCATTGGCAAAGAGAAAGCCAGGACAGCTTCCATTTCCAACAACAGTTTCTGACCTAGGCATGGCAAGTTTGGCCTAGACAGAAATTTGGAAGGAGGAGAAAAAATCAGCTGAGCTATACATGATAGTGCAGCCTGGATGCATGGATTGCAATATAGGAGTATCCCAACTGCAAAAACAAATTAGGCCAATCACTTTCACATCACCACCACCACCTCAAACTGACAAAAAAGTATCCATGAAGAAAGGGCAAAGATGCAGGGCAAAACTACAAAGACCCATGTACTTCCACAGTGCTTGGATTCCAAGAATATTCAAAGGGAATGTGATGTGGTCTGCCATGAATACAAATCAGTGAGTAATAAACTTTGCTAAATGTCCTATTCCATAACATAGTAATAACCTCCTCTTTTTATTTATGAAAATCACATGGTCCTTGACCTTTTTTTTGGAGGACAGGGTCTCATTCTGTTGCCCGGGCTGGAGTGCAGTGGCACAATCACAGCTCACTGTAGCCTCAACCTCCTGGGCTCAAGTGATCCTCCAACCTCAGCCTCTCATGTAACTGGGAATCCAAAGTAAGTTAAAAATAGCTAAAACGGAAGCTCATCTACTCAAATATTGATAATATCTAAAAGATAGCAGTAGTATGAGAGTGAGGGTTGGTCTAAGCATAGGAAATCTCAATTTAATTAAAAATTCAGCCAATTTGACTCTAAAAGGAATCTGAATAATTAGCCCTTCTCCTTGTTAGACAGAGGGAAAGAGCTTGTATTCTCTGGGGCAAAAACATCAAAACATTATTTACTTCAATCTTCATTGTATTTTTATATGCATATCTTAGATACAATAAAAAAATTGAGGCATGCAGAGATACAAGACATACTCACCAATAACCAAAAGAACGCATAGTCAATAGAAGCAGGTCCATAGTTAAACCCAGTTATTGGAACTAGCAGCAAGAATATTTAAGCAATTATCATACACATTTTAAACAAATTTATAGGAAAATGTGGATCTAATGGGTAAGAGATAGGGGTATGTCAGAAGAGAAAAGAGAACTCTAAAAAAAGACAAAATGGAAACTCTAGGATGATAAAATGCAATGTCTGTGATAAAACATTCACTGGATGACATTAACAGCAGTTTGAATTTTCAAAAGAAAGCATTAGCAAACCTAAACACAGGTCAATAGAAATTATCCAATTAAGTCAGAGTTTGAAAAAAGAGTAAAAACAATCAAAGAATGTGGTGTCAATAATGAGACTGACGACTGACATTCCATCAGAAATGATGCAAGTCAGAAGACAATGAAATGATAACTTTAAAGTGCTAAGAGAAAATAAACACTATCAACCTAGAATTCTATATACAGTATTCTCCCTTTATCCACGGTTTTGCTTTCCAAGGTGTCAGTTACCCATGACCACTGCAGTCTGAAAATATAAAATGGAAAATTCCAGAAATAAACAATACATAGATTTTAAATTATGTGCTGTTCTGAGTAGTAGAATGAAATCCCACACTGTCCTGCTGCTTCCCGCCTGGGATGTGAGTCATCCTTTTGTCTAGCATATTCACAGTCTATGATACCTGCCTGCCAGTGACAAAGTAGCTCTCTTGGTTACCGGATTAAAAAAAAAACCAACAGAATGTATGTAGGGTTCAGTACTATCTGTGGTTTCAGGCATCCACTGGGGGTCTTGGAATGTATCCCCCACAGATAAGGGGGAACTAGTGTATAGTGAAACCATCTTTCAGAGGCAGCAGATGGGCAAACCAGATATAAAAGAAACAAAGTCACAGTGTGGCAGTCATACATAGGGAGTGACAGATGTCCAATTCTGAGGGCACAAAAAGATGTCTGGTCCCCAGAGTTCCTGATGGATCGTTAATGCTGGTGCTGTGTTCTGACTGATAAGAAGCCATTGTTCTTTCTTCTCTTGAGTAGTGGCTGCTTAGTTGCTGATATACTTTCTTGATTCCTCTATTTTCTGTTCTTTTTCTTTTAAATGACAAGTCGTCACCTGAAATCAGATAAAGTCTCTATGCCTTGCAACCAGAAAGAACTGACAATATAATTCCTTTTGACAGGATGGCTTCTCACGTAAGATTTTGGGACATTTCACAAACATTTAATATTAAAAAGAGAGAAGAAGAAAGTTTAACAGAGGAAAAGAGCACTGGATGTTTTCCCAGGGTCCCAGACCTCCAGGCAACTGTTTCCTCATTGCACATGAGGACTAGCTGTCTTTCAATTCAAATTATGTAAATTTTCACAAATTCTCTCTGGTGATAATGCAAAGAGAGAATGAAATATCACTCACTGGTTGGTAAAAATTCAAGGAGAACAGATTGTTGGCTTTGATGAGATAGTCCAAATTTTTAACGTGGAGTGTAGACAGGTGTCCTGGGTGAAAGTCAACATAAAGGAATTGAGAAAAGGACAGTAAAGGGCTTTTCACTGTTTTCTGCATTTTAAGCCAAGGTAAGTTTATGAGAATCTTTTCTAAATTGCCATAATTATAATAACCTGTCCCCTGGTAGTCATCATTTAGCAGTGTGTTTTTTCTATAGCTTGTGTTCAACAAATAGCAGTGTATCTATTACTGGGAATACTTACTGTAGGAAACACTGCCCACCAGCCACTCTGCAGGGGTGGGGTGTTACCAGTTATTTTCAAGGCAATGCTTTTTTTTGTTTTTTGTTTTTTGTTTTGAGACAGTTTCACTCTGTCACTCAGGCTGGAGTGCAGTGGTGCAATCTTGGCTCACTGCAACCTCCATCTCCCAGGTTCAAGTGATTCTTCTGCCTCAGCCTCCCAAGTAGCTGGGATAACAGGCATCCACCACCACACCTGACTAATTTTTGTACTTTTAGTGGAGATGGTGTTTCACCATGTTGGCCAGGCTGGTCTTGAGCTCCTGAACTCAGGTGATGCACTCATCTCAGCCTCCCAAAGTGCTGGGATTATAGGTGTGAGTCACCATGCCTGGCCTCAGGGCAATGCTTTTTAAAATGTTGTTTAGACTCTACCCTCTGCCAAGAGCTGGTCTAAAGATGGGCACCCATCCTTTGGCTTTTAAACCTTCTTTTCACATACACAATACTTAAGTCCAAGGTTACGGTAGCTCTGCTTCTCTGGGTCCCTCTTGGCCCTTTCTCCTCTCTGCACCAGCTTTATCCTAAGGCTGGCATCTCTCAAGGTTGCAAGATAGATAAGGCACTTCCAGGCATTATGTTTAGAGACTGCGATGTTCAGAAGAAGAGCTTTTGTCACCTGCCCATTCCTAAGCCAATCACCATCAAGGAGAATTGGATTATTCAGGCAAACTAGAATCTACCACCTGGAGCTAGGGATAGGCTAGCCTCTCCTAAGAGGCTTGGTTGTATAGAGGAGAATATATTTCTCAATAAACTCTGGGTTCTGTTAGGAAGGAGGAAGAGTTAATAGATGTTAGGCAATTTAGGGCATCCTGCCCAAGTTAAGTTTTCCAGTGGCTGTATCATTGCTTTTTAACAAATCACAGTTTGTTTAGTTTCATTATCATTAATTTTATTTATTGTGGATTGTTTTGCTAAGCCTACCATATGTAGTGAAGCATATCTTCACCAACAATACTTTGAACTGTAATTTCCAATAACTAAACTTAAAGACTGTGAACACTGGGAACCAAGAATAGATACCTGCATCTCCTTACCAAAGCGGATAAAGTCGCCGTCTTCACCACCATCGCCAATACCCCTAAGCTTGTGTCCACAATGATTCTTGTTGTTAGTAGAGTTTTTCCTTAAAAAGGAGAAGAAGAATGCCTGTAATCCCAGCACTTTGGGAGACCGAGGTGGGCGGATCACCTGAGGTCAGGAGTTCAAGACCAGCCTCACCAACATGGAGAAACCCTGTCTCTATTAAAAATACAAAGAATTAGCCGGATGTGGTGGCACATGCCTGTAATCCCAGCTACACGGGAGGCTGAGGCAGGAGAATCGCTTGAACCCTGGAGCTGGAGGTTGCAGTGAGCCGAGATCACGCCATTGCACTCCAGCCTGGGCAACAAAAGCAAAAAAGCGAAACTCCATCAAAAAAAAAAAAAAGAGAGAAGAAGAAAAAGCAACTTATGTGTGCTTATGGGATATGATACTCTGTCCAAGAAGGCTGAGCTCAGAAATGATCGAGAATCTCTGCTTTGGATGGGAATTCCTGTGAGCATTTTCCATTCTTCTTTGCCATAATGAAGAAAGATAGAGTCTCTTTCTTAGTGTCATGTGTGCTTACTTCAGTCTTAGGGTGGCAGAGACCCAGCTTCTCCTCATTCGTCTCTCCTGTCTAAATTGAAAGAAATAAGATCCCTTTACTCAGTTGACCTTCTCCTATTTCTTGTATAAAGTAGAAAGATCAAGATTTGGGAATTAAAAATACAACGTCTCCGGCTGGAGTAATTGCAAGCTAATTACTGCTATCATTATGCATTAAATTAAAATATCAGCATTTAAACTGTACATGCTACAAAGTTCAGGCCCTCATTACATCTTACTTGATCACTTCACTTGCTTCTAACTTGATCTCCCTGACTTCTCCAATCCGTCTTGCACAACATTCCCAAGGGATCTTTCAAAAACACAAATCTGATAGTGTCACTTTCTTGCCTATATTTTTTGTTTGTTTGTTTTTAATGAAACAGAGACTCACTCTGTCGCCCAGGCTGTAGAATGGCTTGAACCCATCTCTGCCTTTTGGGTTGGAGCGATTCTCCTGCCTCAGCCTCCCAAGTAGTTGGGATTACAGGCGCCTGCCATCATACCTGGCTAATTTTTGTATTTTTAGTAGAGATGGGGTTTCGCCATGTTGACCAGGCTGGTCTTGATCTCCTGACCTCAAGTGATCCACCTGCCTCAGCCTCCCAAAGTGCTGGGATTACAGGTGTGAGCCACTGCACCCAGCCACTTGACTATAATATAATTCTTAAAAGCCTTTCTACAAACTAATTGGGCGCACGCACCCATCTTATTTTCTGGCCTCTGCCTGTCTCTCCAACCTCATCTCTCACCCCAGAAGCCAGCAAAATTCTGCTGGGCACTGCAGTCTTACGACTCCCTTCGTGCAGTGTCCAGAACATCTGTGTGCTTCCTGGCTTCCAGCCTTTGTCCACCTCACTCCCTCTACCTAGAATGTCCTTTCTCCCTTATTCTTCTGTTAAATCCCCATTCATGCTTCAAAATTCCCTCCAAACACCCCATTGCCTTTAAAAATCTGCCTTTACTCTGCCAGGAAGTTTGTTGCCTATCTTTGATGCCTTATTAGTAGTGTTTAAGATGGTGGGTTTCTAAGCCAAACTGTCCAGGTTCAAAGTCAGTTCCCACCACTTACTGGCTATGTCACCTTGTCAAGAACTGTGCAGAGATTGAGATTTTATGTCACATACAAGCTATCTAGTTCACTGTTGCTGTTTCACAGGGGCTGGCAGAAGACTTGGAACTCCTGGGTCAGAGACAAAGGACTTTGTGAATCACGACGAAAGCAGTAGACAGAGCTGCACGGTTGCTGGTTCCCTGTGCCCCCAAGTCTTATGGTGGTGATGTAGACGGCTCCTCGTGGATGCCTGCGCACAAAGTCAGTCACCTTACAGGAGAGGAACCCTGAGCCTGAGCTTGGGAAATCACCGCTTTTATAATAAGTGGAATACAAAGCCTTCCCTGCGGAGAAAGGGGAACACTCATACACTGTTGGTGGGAATCCAAATTAGTACAACCTCTGTGGAAAACAGTGCGGAGATTTCTCAAAGAACTGAAAACAGAATTATCATTCAACCTGGCAATCTCACCCCTGGGTATCTACCCAAAGGAAAACAAATTGTTGTATCAAAAAGACACTTCCTCTCATATGTGTATCGCAGTACTATTCACAATAGCAAAGATGTGGAATCAACCTAAGTCCATGGATGAATGAATGAATTATAAATGCCCATCAATAATAGACTGGATAAAGAAAATGTGGTATAATTCACACTACGGAACACTATGCAGCCATAAAGAATAATGAGATCATGTCCTTTGCAGGGACATGGCTGTAGCTGGAGGCCATTATCCTTAGCAAACTAATGCAGGAACAGAAAATTAAATACTGCATGTTCTGACTTATAAGCAGGAGCTAAGAGATGAGAATACGTGGACACAAAGAGGTAACAACAGACATTGAGGCCTATTGGAGAGTGGAAGGCTGGAGGAGGGAGAGGATCAGGAAAAATAACTAATGGGTACTAGACTTAATGAAATAATCTGTACAACAAACTCCCATAGCACAAGTTTGCCAATGTAACAAACCTGCACATGTACCCCGAACTTAAAAGTTAAAAAAAAAAAAAAGAAAATGTGAAACATATACACCATGGAATACTATGCAGCCATAAAAAAGATTAAGATCATGTCTTTCGAAGCAATATGGATGGAGTTGAAGGCCATTGTTCTAATTGAAATAACTCAGAATCAGAAAGTCAAATATTGAATGTTATCGCTTACAAGTAGGAGGAAAACAAGGGGTACACATGAATACACAGAGGTAAATAATTGACATTGAGGAACCCAAAAGAGTGGAGGGCAGGATGGGGGGATGAGGGTTGAAAAATTACCTATTGGGTATAATGTTCACTATTTGGGTGATGGGTACACTAGAAACTCAAATCTTGCATTATGTAATAAATCCATGTAACAAACCAGCACATGTATCCCCAAATCTATAAAAATAAATTTTTTTAAGGTGAAAAAAAGGCTTCTCTTTGTCCAGAAGGAAAAATGCTACCTCATCCTTCAAGGCTGCTTGCTGCCGCCCCAAGACACAGCCCAGATAAAGGGCCATCAGGCACGCACACCTGCAGGATGAGGAAGAGACACTCAGGGCCACGGTGGATTGCCTCTCCCGGGAGCCCTGGACCTACTATTGAACCTCTCGCTACCTCAGTTTCCTTGTGTCTTAAGTTGGGATAATCATAGTACCTGCATCATAGAGGTTTTGTAAGGGTTGAAAGGATTAACCCAGAAGAAGTGATAAGTCCCAGCTATTACTATCAATCTTCCACTTTGCCCTTCCCTACTTCCACATATTTTATGTGTAGCTTTTATTCTATTTCACGGTAAATAAATAATAGAGATGAAGTCTCACTATGTTGCCCAGGCTGGTCTCAAACTCCTGGGCTCAGGCGATCTTCCCCACTAGCCTCCCAAAATGCAGGGTGCAGGGGTAACAGGTGTGTGAGCCACCACACCCAGCCATAAGGGTACATTTGCAGATCTTCTTTTTCCCCACTGCCTAACAGCTCCTTGAAGCATATTCATCCTTGCAGCTCAGATGCCAGTACAGGGTAGATAATTATTATATTTGTTGATTAAAAGAGTAAACAAAAAGTCTTCCCGTATATCAACCAGTGTGATCTGACTAGAGTCTCTGTATACTTTTGATCAAATTTCATGACTCCAAACTTTTCAATGCTTTGGTGAAAAAAAAAATCATCATTCTGTTTTAGGTAGTGCTCTTTTCAACGCAATAACATGAAATGGCAATTTATTAATATAGGAAGATCAAGTAGTTCCTCCAGGAAAATTACCTGGTCTCACCTGTTTACATTTCTATGAAATGGGAACGATAATAGTGCCTACCTGTAGTGCAGTTGGGAGAAATAATGAGTTGACGTATGTAAAATGTCTAGAAGAGCACTTAGCACATGCTACATCTATCTCAGCTTTTTATTCCTCATTGGAGCTCATGACCTCTTGTTTAGTTATGGGAAATCATTGCATATTTCAGTCATTTGCGATGCCTAAAAGATAGAAACTTAGTTTCCACTATTATTGCTTTAATTCAGAAAACAGTGTCTCTGGAGATAGGAGTCCAATGGGTCATTGTTTTATCAACAGTTTCTCAGAACAATCCAGGTGAACACATGGCAGCCCTTCTTGAGGGCTGGCTGGACCTAATAGGCTTCCTCTGACCAGATAGAAGCAGCCAGGAGAGGTGACCCCATGTCTAACATAAATTCTGATCTGTGACCAGTAAATCAGCACATCTCAGAAAAATGAATACGTAAAGGAAGAATAAAAAAAGTCACCGAAACCATTTAACATGGCCTTTGTTTTATGTACCTGATAGGAAACCATCATCCAGTCTTTTTTTCTGAAATAAATAAGGCTGTGGATGGATAGCAGTTTCTATAACAATCTCCAATTCTTTCAGCTGAGTTTCCTGAAATCATGGTCCTTCACTCTACTTCTTTGACTGTGCCAACCTTGCTGAAACAAGACTTCCCTGTTCTTTGGCCCCGTGTGCTGTTTTGTTAGCTAGAAAATGCAGCCTTCTAATCGGTATGCGCTTTACTGGTCTCCGGTGTCTACTAAACAGCCAAAAGCCCCTCTCGCCCTAGAAAGAGTAGAACTCAGAAACGCTTATGGCCTGCGGGTGAGACAAGATTGACTACAGGACTGCGATTTCTTTGGATTTCACAACAAGACCTGTGTTGTTTCCTCTACCCCAGTCTACCTAGAATGGGATTTCACCCACAGCTGCTGCCAGCACCCACTCACCCCTGACGACACACACCTGCCTGGCCAGCCAGAGATCCACGGCGCTAATGCACTGCTTTTCCGAGGCGGGAGAAAGATAATGGAAAGATTGATAGACAGAAAGAGGAGTTCAACAAGACAACAGAATGCTCAGAAGTGCACATCCTAGTTCCATTTCTAACTGCACCTGGCCTTGTTATATGCGTGTAGCTTCTTACGCTGCCATGCATGTTGTGTATGTATATATACATGTAAAAATATATATTCTTTTAAAAATATTTAACAATTGTGGGCTCTGATAAAAGAGACTTTAGTATTTTTCAGATCAAGAGGCTATCGTGTGCCTAATCACATATTCGGTTGAGAGCGGGTCCAGAATTTGGTCTTGGTTGTTCTGATTCTCAGCCGGAAGCAAGTGCTGCTGTGTACCATGGTGTCTCTTCTGTGTGCCTCAATATGAACCATTTGCACCTGAAGTCGGCTACATAAAAAACTCAAACTCTCTTTTTATTTATTTACTTTTTTTTTTTTTTTTTTTTGAGATGGAGCCTTGCTCTGTCGCCCAGGCTGGAGTGCAGTGGTGCTATCTCGGCTCACAGCAACCTCTGCCTCTGAGTTCAAGCGATTCTCCTGCCTCAGCATCCCAAGTAGCTGAGACTATAGGCACCCACCACCATGCCCGGCTATTTTTTTGTATTTTTAGTAGAGGGGGGTTTCACCATGTTAGCCACGATAGTCTCGATCTCCTGACCTCATGATCCGCCTACCTCGGCCTCCCAAAGTGCTGGGATTACAGGCGTGAGCCACCGCGCCCGGCCTCAAACTCATTTGCTAAACAATATAGTATCCAGTAAGTACCAGATGTTCCCAGAGCTTCCATGCATTCAGACAAGGAAACAGGGAGCCCCTCAGAGTACTGCTACAGGATCCCCAACTTCCTTCTCTCCCTGAGCATGTGGGAAGGCCAGACTTCCTGTGCAGTTAGTTGCAGACTCATGAATCAGCTTTGGGAAATGGAATATGTGTCTACGTGGCATCCTCACTACTGGCTGGGCCACACAATATCCCACACTGTGTCCCCATCCTTTAAATGACTTAAACCCAAATCCTTCCACAACCTCTTTTCCCTGTCTGACTAAGAAGCAGAGGGCCCTGAGATAGGAGAACACAGACAAAATTTGAGGAAGAGCTGTCTTGCAAAATTGCGTGACCTGAAAAACAGTTTATAAGAGCAAAAAAGAAACTGTGATGATGTTAAGCCACTGCAACTTTAGAGGTTTGTTTTGTTGTGAGACAGAGTCTCGCTCTGTTGCACAGGCTGCAGTACAGTGGCACGACCTCAGCTCACTGCAACCTCTGCCTCCCGGGTTCAAGTGATTCTTCTGCCTCAGCCTCCTGAGAAGCTGGGATTACAGGCGCCTGCCACCACACCAGGCTAATCTTTGTATTTTTAGTAGAGATGGGGTTTCACCATGTTGGCCAACTGGACTCAAACTCCTGACCTCAAGTGATCGGCTCACCTCGGTCTCCCAAAGCACTGGCATTACAGGTGTGAGCCACTTCACCCAGCCTTTAGACGTATTTGTTACAGCAGCGTCTCTAACTCGTGTCTCCTTAGTTCGCCTGACAGGTCTCCTGCAGCTTCAGTGTGCGGCTGAAGGCCCTTCTCAAGGACTGGGTCTCTCCCTGTGGTAGGGTTCTCCATTTAACATGGTCATGGTTCACGGTTTCATGTACCTGATAGGCAATCATCACTCCGTGTTGTTTTTTTTTTTTCTTTTTTTCTGAAATAAATGAGGCTTTGGATAGATGCCTATTTCTATTATGATGTCAAATTCTTATATACCATAGGTCTTTCTCTGACCACAGCAGATTGCTTATCCTGCACATGGGACATGCAGGAAATGCTAAGGAATTAATAGGAGCAGCCCCCAACCAACAAGGGACGGAGGTTGGTGGATATATAATGTCTCAGCTTCCCTGCTGCGGGGAGACAATTGTCAGATACTCTCTGCATATTTGCTCCACAGCAGGACTGCGCCCAGTGGCTCAGAGTGGAAACCCTCTCTTCCTTGCTTTCCTTCCCACCTTCCTTCCCACTCCTTCACTGTACTTGTCAGGATCACTTCCCAAATAAATGACTTAAACCCCAACCCTTGCACAGTGCCCTGCTTTTGCAAGAGGCCAAACCCACAGAAGGGAGTTAGCATTCATTTTGCTCATATGGGAAGAATGCAGTTGAATGAATCACGTGGGCAGCCTAAAATTTTTAAGCTTGTGAATTCCAGTTCTGTTCATGGTTCTAGTACATGAACCAGCAAATCAGGGTCACCTTACTTATCTAATATTTGAGGGAACTGGCAAGGAATAAGTAATAATCCTGAAATTATTTGCAAATGCTAAATACCATTTTTAATTAATAAGCAAAAACTACAGTCTTTAAAGAGTGTTTTCTGGTTAAAAGCAAAGCCCATTCAGCATATTAAACTTGGAAAACAGAGACAAACCCAAAGAGAAAAATAAAATGTCCCCATTATCCCATGGCAGCTTTAAAAATTTAAGTGTACAGCCTTTGGGTGCTTTTTTTCCCCTCTGTGTATATATAGGTTAGCAAAATGAGATCACATTGTATAAAGAGTATTGTAACTTGATTTGAATTTACCAAAAAAACAGATGTGTAGCTTTCAGTGGTACTCCGGATATATTTTAGAGAGTTCTCTAATCCTTGAGTCTGCAGGATATAAACTGATGTGCCATATCCATGTTGTACTTCATTCCATCCCAGGACCACTTGCTAGACTCACATAGAAATATGCAAAGGTCAAAATGAATTTATATTTATTTAGCAAACTCAGTGAGATCAGGGATTTTCCTTTTTCTACTTTGTTATAGCCAGAGTTTAGAACAACGCTTCACACAATATGCATTCAATAAATATGTATCGAATAAATACATGAAACAACAAAGCAGCTAACACCATTTTACTGACTGGTTTAGGTCCACTTGTAGTCAATGTGAAGCCAAAATCAGTGTCCAGTAACAAGCACTTTTATGAGCACTGGTTTTCTGGGATGGCTGCTTATTGCGTTTTCTCTACTTTATTCCCTTAGTCATGGGTCAGACTTTCCTGCTATCAACAGCAATCAAACCCTGCCATTTCATAGCAACCTAAGGCCCCCAAAACAGGGTGGGGTTTCCCAAGAGCAAGGCACAGCTCGTTCCTATTGCTGGAACTCTCCCTTCTCTACAAAAATATCGTGTCCTCATAAGTCATTCACACCAACTTCCATTTGTCAAGATAATTGGGGACATTTTACAATGCTGTAACCTAGATGTTATCGTGGAGACTCGCCCTGTTTCCAATTTGCAATCTTCAGGAAGGTGGCCATGCGCCTGCCATTCAGCAGGGCCACGGACCCACTGCCAAAGGACTCATGGCTTGCAGTGTCACTGACCCTCACCATCCTAAGATCATCCGAGGTGAGGCGCTGAACACAGAGCCTCAGGCAGCCCCTCAGTTCTCTCCTGCAAGTCCAGACAAGGACTTGCTGGTTTATTTCACTTAGATTCTTGCCTCTTGGGGGCTTTGAGAACATGGAGTGGTATTGACATAACCTTAGGGATCTATCTCTGTGACCAGCTAAATGCAATTGTCACCATTTTGATTATTCGGTGACGTCAGACGTCACCTGGCTAAGCTGGCTCCCCACTGAAAATGTGACTCTGGTTTTTTGTCCTTGCGATAGTTTGCTGAGAATGATGGTTTCCAGCTTCATCCATGTGGGAATTGAACAATGAGAACACTTGGACACAGGAAGGGGAACATCACACACCAGGGCCTGTTGTGGGGTGGGGAGATGGGGGAGGGAGAGCATTAGGAGAAATACCTAATGTAAATGACGAGTTAATGGGTGCAGCACACCAACATGGCACATGTATACATATGTAACAAATCTGCACGTTGTGCACATGTACCCTAGAACTTAAAGTATAATAATAAAATATATATATATTTTATATATATATATAATATATATATATAAAAGAAAAGAAAAAAGAAAATGTGACTCTGATACAACGAGAATGCTTTCATTGAATTTTAACTTCAAGGACAAGTGGGAAAACTTGGCTTCGGTGAACCGGCTGCAAGTGCAGTATTCCATGAGTGTGGCACGTTTCAAACCTTAAACACCCCTCCAGGCTGGGGGGCATAGATGATAGGTGCCCAGCCAGCCCTTCCTCTACTACAATACGTCCTCTCACTTTTAGGTGGTATCTTTCATTTTGTTTTGGAAAAATTAGCTTCATGCCATGAGCTGAATGGTAGTACCGTGGGGAAGGGCAAAGAGAGCTGATTAGCCGCTTTGTCAACAATAAAATCCCCTTCCAGCCACTTCTGTAGCTCTAAGGAGCCATCACAGCGCATTGAATGTGGTGGAGACTCATTCACAGTCAGTTACATTGAAGAGAATAAGCCATGGATTGCTGTATTGTCATAGTTGCCTTTTTATTGTTTTTGGAATAAAGGTAGCCCAGTACTACAGCCCTGAAAAAACAAACAGCAAAATAAGTAATTACTGTCTTACCTAAGCCAGACGGAAAATAACATATTCCGGCTGAGTGTGGTGCCTCATGCCTGTAAACCCAGCACTTTAGGAGGCCGAGACGAGAGGCTCCCTTGAGCCCAGCAGGATGGGTAACATGGCGAGACTCTGTCTCCACGACAAAGTAAAAAATATTAGCCCAGTGTGGCAGTGCACACTTGTAGTCCCAGCTACTTGGGAGACCAAGGTGGGAGAATCACTTGAGCCCAAGAGCTCGAGGTTACAGTGAGTTATGATCAAGCCATTGCACTCCAGGCTGGGTGACAGAGAGAGACCCAGTCTCAAAAAGGGAGGGAGGGAGGAAGGGAGGGAGGAAGGAAGGAAGGAAGGAAGGAAGGAAGGGAGGGAGGGAGGGAGGGAGGGAGGGAGGGAGGGAGGGAGGGAGGGAGGAAGGAAAAAATGAGACGTTCTTAATAATTACACATAGAACACATTGATAACATTGATATAGTTAGGCGTGGCATTCCATGTAGATTACTAATTTGCAATAATTAGAACGCAGAGTCCCAGGTTGACTGACACATGGCCAGCAGTGTCGGTGCTGGGGAGAGCAGAGGCAGGAGGCAGAACAGACAGCAGGCGGGCTGGGCCAGTGGGCACAGACACAGCCGACCCTGAAGCGTCCCGTGCCTCAGTTTCCTCCTGCATACAGGAAGCTTAGATAATTGCGGAGGAATTGTCAGGTTCTAAAATGTTTTGAGGAACCTAAACACAGTAAAATACTACACAGAGACATTTAAAAACTAGGAAGGATAAGAAGCCACTTTAATAATACATTTCACCAGCCGGTTGTGGTGGCTCACGCCTGTAATCCCAGCACTTTGGGAGACCGAGGAGGGTGGATCACGAGTTCAAGAGATTGAGATCATCCTGGCCAACATGGTGAAACCCCATCTCTACTAAAAATACAAATATTAGCTGGGCGTGGTGGTGCATGCCTGTAGTCCCAGCTACTCAGGAGGCTGAGGCAGGAGAATTGCTTGAACCTGAGAGGCGGAGGTCGCAGTGAGCCAAGATTGTGCCACTGCACTCCAGTCTCAGTGACAGAGCAAGACGCTGTCTCATAAAAAAATAAATAAATTTCATCAAAAATTATTCCATTGACATCATAATTTAGGATAAGTAGCTGACATAGATAAAATGCCAGAATGCCAGAAAATATCAGACGATTTCCAGTGTCCTACCAAGTAGAATAACATTTTTTTTTTTGAGACAGAGTTTCACTCTTGTTGCCCAGGCTGGAGTGCAATGGCACCGTCTCGGCTCACTGCAACCTCCGCCTCCCAGGTTCAAGCGATTCTCCTGCCTCAGCCTCCCAGGTAGCTGGGATTACAGGAGCCCTCCACCACTCCTAGGTAATTTTGTATTTTTAGTAGAGACGGGGTTTCATCATGTTGTCCAGGCTGGTCTCGAACTCCTGACCTCAGGTGATCCGCCTGCCTTGGCCTCCCAAAATGCTGGCATTACAGGCGTGAGCCACCATGCCCGACCTAGAATAACATTTTTAAGTTATTTAAGTAGTAGCATGGAATATGTAGCATGTAGTATGTAGTATGTGAACACCATGTAACATTCAGCTGCCCGGAGCCCTCTGCCTGAAGTTCCAACATTCTCTAAGCTGCCCGTAGCCACAGCAGAGTCATAGTGGAGTTTTTATCTCTACTGAGGCAAGGCTAAAGCTCTAAAACAGACAATATATCTCTTTGCCTACGAAACCACCCAGGAGAAAGAAAGCACTATCTGCAATAAAAGGGCACTGTTTTGCAGGTTCCTGGCATAAAGGCAAGGGCCCTGCTCTGGGAGGTCAGAGAACCTGGATCCAAGCCTTCAACAAATATATAGTCAGCATCTGTGAGGTGCCAGGCCCTATGGGGAGCCCTACATCATGCAATTCAAGCGAAAGAAAAACCCTGTCCACAAAGAATTCACAGTTCAGAGTGTGAGGCTGGCAAGTAAACAGCCCCAAAGTACCACGTGGGCCATAGGCATTAGAAGGCACTAAGTACGGGGTGCCCTGGTACCTTGTGGGGTTAGGGCAGGGGTGTCCAATCTTTTGGCTTCCCTGGCCACATTGGAAGAAGAAGAATTGTCTTGGGTCACACTCAAAATACACTAACACTAATGAAAGCCGATAAGAAAAAATAAATGCGAAAAAATTCATGTTTTAGGAAAGTTTACAAATGTGTGTTCAGCTGCATTCAAAGCCATCCTGGGCTGCATGCGGCCTGTGGGTCACAGGTTAGACAAGCTTGGTTTAGGGGATTTTCACAGAAATTGTGCCAGGGTACATGACTGCCATGCTGAGAGGGACAGACAGAAGACTGGGGTGGTGGTGGCAGGATCAGTGTCTGGAATCCGGCTTGTGGTGGAGACGGCTGTGCGTGTCTCCTCCTCTCCAGATGGGAGCAGGACATCTCACGGACTCACGGGCTACTTCGGGCAAATTTTACCACACCTGGGCCTCAATGTCTTCATCCATGAAAGAGGGATGAATAAAATGATTCCTTTCAGACATGAATGTATGAGAAATTCTTAAACATATTTTTCACATCTCTCCTTTCTTTCTTTCTCTCTCTCTCTCCCTTCCTTCCTACCTTCCTTCCTTCCTTCCTTCCTTCCTTCCTTCCTTCTTTTCTCTCTCTCTCTGTCTCTGTCTCTCTCTTTCTTTCTTTCTTTTTGGCAGAGTTTCACTCTTGTAACCCAGGCCGGAGTGCAGTGGTGTGATCTCGGCTCACTGCAACCTCAGCCTCCTGGGTTCAAGCAATTCTCCTGCCTCAGCCTCCCAAGTAGCTGGGATTACAGGCACCCGCCACCATGCCTGACCTCAGGTGATGCACATGCTTTATCCTCCCAAAGTGCTGGGATTACAAGCATGTGAGCCACTGTGCCCAGCTACATCTCTCCTTTCAAGAACTCATTCATTATTCATTCTATTTTTCTTTTTTTGGAGAGTCTCACTCTATTGCCCAGGCTGGAGTGCAGTGGCAGGATCATAAGTCACTGCAGCCTCACCCTCCTAGGCTCAAACAATCTTCCCCCCTCAGCCTCCCGAGTAGCTGGGACTCACTGCAGCTCAGCTGCAAATGCACACAATCAATCCCCCTCCCCGGCTAATTTTTTAATTTTTGTGTAGAGGCGGGGTTTCACCATGTTTCCCAGGCTGGTCTTGAACTCCCGAGCTCAAGCGATCCTCCTGCCTCAGTCTCCAAAAGTGCTGGGATTACAGGAGTGAGCCACTGCGCCCAACCAAGAACTCATTCATTAAAATGCTTTTCCTCTTTCCCACTCAAAAGATGATGCCTTGCATTGTTTGCCTTAAAAGTTAAAATTAAGATAAAGACTTAGCACTAGACTGGGAATTAAGTGCCCACATAAAACCAAGTTATTCATCAGTGTATAGAACTTGTTGTTCATATAATGAAATTACATTTTGCAAACCCTGTTTAACTTTATGCAACCAGAGTATCAGAAAAAAAAAAACAAAAACAAAAACTAGCCAAAATGCTGGCTAAGTGACTCTGGAGACAAGCATTACAGGAATCCCAAGGACATTCTGATACAAACCAGACAACTGTATGTAGAGGATGATTTATTGGAAGTGGGCTGGGTTTGTGCTTCAATACTTTGGGAGCTGCGGCCTTGACTTGGAAAGGTCTCCTTGGAAACGTGTCAGGGAGGCAGCCAAAAGTGGGGAGAAGGCTCATGTGGAAACCATGTCGTGGGGCTCACAGCCGGGGAGAGTTGGGAAGTCTTGTTTCCTTTCTTGTGATTATTCCCCAGTGTCTCATTTCCACTTTTAGTTCCCCTCTCTCCACCAAACCCCCCACGCCATTGTCACAGGATTCAGAAGTCGAGGCCAAGAGAAAAAGAAGGGGAAGTATAGAGAAAAGGAGAGTAGAGACGATCGCAAAAGGAAAGTTGGTAAAAGAGAATTGAGGAAAAGGGCAACTCAGAGAAGGGAGGAGAGGAGCAGACCAGGCACTGCCTACCAAAATACTGAAAACAAGACTATAAATAATGTGGGTTAAAAAAAAATAGGTGTATGTTCATTGTAGCACTCTTCACTATAGCAAAGACATGGAACCAACCCAAATGCCCATCAATGATAGAATGAATAAAGAAAATGTGATGCATATATACCATGGAATACTATGCAGCCATAAAAAAGAATGAGATCATGTCCTTTGCAGGAACATGGATGGAGCTGGAAGGCATCACCCTCAGCAAACTAACACAGGAACAGAAAACCAAACACTGCATGTTCTCACTCATAAGTGGGAGCTGAACAGTAAGAACACATGGACACAGGGAGGGGAACAACACACACTGGGACCTGTCGGGGGTGGGGGGTTGGCAGGAGGGAGAGCATTAGGACAAATGGCTAATGCATGTGCGGTTTAATACCTAGGTGATGGGTTGATGGGTGCAGCAAACCACCATGGCACAAGTTTACCTATGTAACAAACCTGCATGTCCTACACATGTACCCCAGAACTTAAAATGAAAATTTTAAAACACAGGTGCTTTTGTTTAAGAGTAGAGCAAACTTGTGGTGTGAGTGCCAGGGATAGAGGAAGGCAGGAATGGGCAGGACGAGCTCCTCCTTGGCTCTCACCCTCTGGGATTAGGGAAATCTAGATTTTCAGAGCGCTGAGTTGTGCTCGATGGAATTTTTATTCTTGGGCCCTGAGGTACCTTTATCTTTATGCTAAGCGGTCATATTGATGTCTACGGTCCAGCAACAACAGGAAATCTTAAGGTTTTGCTCAGCTAGACTTCTTCAGAATGCATGTGATACATTGCTCTTTCTATCCAGAAATACATTTCTATTTCACCCACACTCTCTGCAGGAGAGTGCATAGAGGGTATTTTGCTCAATCTAGAACATCCATTCAATGTACAAACCTCATATACCTGCTTCCTCAAAGAACATTATGAAGTCTGTATCAAAAGCCTCCTCTTTTGTAATGGAGTTAAACATTATTTTCATTCTTCACTTAACCTTGGCCTGTTGAAAACTTGTACAGCAAATGTTAAGGTTTAATAAACGAACAGAAAATCCTTGAAACTTCTGAATGTGTACTCAAGTACTCTCTGTGACTTCCTGATCTTGATGTCAGAGATGTTTCTTTGCCTGTTTCTTTGTCTTTGTATCTAAAAGTATAGGAAATATATGGATTTAGAGCACATTATTCCCCGCAGGGCAAATTCTCACCCTTGATCACCCTGGGAAGAAATCTAATACACATGATTCATTCTTATTATCGTCCTATGAAGCAAGCAGTGTTCCAGAAAAAGCTCAGTGCAGTCAAACAGCCTTTTATCTGTGATTTATCCAAATAATTTGTTATCATTTACCCCTTCTATGACATTTATTTTCTCATCCACTATTAGTATAGATTTTTAAAGCAAAATAAATCAGATATTGAAAAAAGCATAGAGAATAATATAAAGAACATCCGTTAGTTTGCCACTGAACTTAAGAGTGAAAACATTTTGCAGATACAACTGTGTATTCCTTACACATCCTCTTGCCACCCGTCTTCCCCCAAGCCCCATTCTCCTCAGTCTGACATTATTCCCTGGACACCTTTATATTTTTACTAATACATGTATGGGTAT
Source organism: Homo sapiens (assembly GCF_000001405.40). Lineage (NCBI taxonomy): Eukaryota > Metazoa > Chordata > Mammalia > Primates > Hominidae > Homo > Homo sapiens. The sequence goes on from NC_000010.11 coordinate 7,466,789, forward strand.
TCGTTAGGATAAAGATGAAACTGTTGTAGCAACAGAAGTCCAAAATATACCAGCTTGAATAAGATAGAAATGTATTTCTGCTCCAACATTTCCTTTAGGTTCCTTCTTTTTTTTTTTTTTTTTTTTCTCAGTACCCACTACAGCATTATCCTTGTCTGCAGGTTTGAGGATGGATCTGCTCCCAGGGAGGGCGAGACAAGTGCACCTAGGTTGCCGGAAGTTGTACGCATCACTTCTGCTGGTATCTGTTAGCCCAACCCAGGCCACGTGGACTCTCCCAGATGCCAGAGACCATGAGAAGAAGAAGAGAAAGGGCTTGGAGAAGGATGGACCACTCACCATTTGCTGGAATAAACAATACTGCAGTCCTTGTTTTAACACTTCATTTTCATCATGCCACACTGTCGGTAACTGAATAACGGCCACCCACAGATGTCAGGGCTTATCCCTGGAACCCGGAAATGGTGTTTGCAGATGGGAGTGAAAGCAGGTCTTTGCAGAAGGGATCAAGTTAGGGATCTTGAGATGGGAAGAATTTCCTGGATTGTCCTGCTAGACACTAAATACACCTTATCCTAATCAAAGAGGCCGAGGGAGGTTTTACTCACACAGCAGAGGAGGAGGTAGAGCTGGAACAGACAAGGAAGGGATTCTCCCTGAGAGCCTCTGGCACGGGCAGCCCTTCAAACACCTCCATGTGTGCCCAGTGAAACTGATTTCCAACTCCGGCCTCCAGAACTGTGAGAGAATAAATTGGTTATTTTAAGCCACCAAATGTGTGGCAAGTTGTTACAGGGAAGGAATAAAGTTATCTGAGTCTTTCCTTTTTTACTCAACATTATGATTTTGAGGCCTTTCCATATTGATACATGTAGTTATAGTTAATTCACTTTCTTACACGAACAGGTTAACAGATTTCCAAGGTTTTTTTTTCCAATTTATCATTATTTCAAAAAAAAGAAAAAGCCCTGCTGCTATAAAAATTCTTGTACATAAAAAAAAATTCTTGTACATGTTGTCTGGTCTAAATGCAAAGATTTCCCTAGAACATGTACCTGGGAATGGAGCAGTCGGTTTGCAGGGTACGTAGGTCTCTAACTTGAATAGGTGTTTCAATTGTTCTCTGAAGAGCAGTAGCATATAAGCGTTCTCCTAATTCCCTGACAACAATAGGTATTAACAGACTTTTAAATTATTGCCAGTCCATTGGGCATAAATAGGTATCTCATTGCTTTTTAAATTTCCATTTCTATCTGTGAAGTCAAGAATCTTTTTCTATTGAGCTAAGCCAGTCCATCAAGACTGGTCCAGGTTTTGAAGACTGGCAAGAAGAAAGCCTAGACTAATTTATGTTGCTTTCACTTAATTTTACCACCAAATGGGCAAACAATCAGGGCAAAGGCTTAGGAGATAGGATCCACAGGGCACTGCCATTAGGCAAGTCCTGGCTATGCCACAGGTGCCTAGTCAACACTATGTCATCGGGTATGTGACAGGCCTGGCATAGCCCAACACACATGTTTATTGCCTTAAAACAGAATTTTTTAAAATACAGATTTTAAAAATGTATTACTTACTTTGAAGAAATGAGTTTTGATTTTATGATGTTTTTCATATTTTTATCATATCATATTTTCTGACCATTAAAGAACCACTGGGATGAGGTTGAAGTAACAAGAAACTTCCCAGAATGGGGCTATGATATCAAAATAATAAGGCCAATATTGAACATGGTTAGGTGTGTGCAGATAGTATATTAAGAATGCAGATTTAGGGTGGGCGCAGTGACTCACGCCTGCAATTCCAACACTTCGGGAGGCCAAGGCAGGTGTATCACCTGAGGTCAGAAGTTCGAGACCAGCCTGAACCAACATGGTGAAACCCCATCTCTACTAAAAACACAAAGATCAGCCAGCCATGGTGGGCGTCTGTAATTCCAGCTATTCAGGAGGTTGAGGCAGGAGAATCACTTGAATCTGGGAGGCGGAGGTTACAGTGAGCCAAGATCGTGCCATTGCATGCCAGCCTGGGCAACAGAGCAAGACTCCATCTCAAAAAAAAAATATGCAGATTTAAAAAGAAAACTTAAAGGAAAGTCAAGCATGGTGCCACCGAGACGATGACCGAAGCTGGTGCTATTTAAAAAGGCAAAGTGCTATCAAAATCACATGTGATCTCTACAAAAAGGAAAAGGGGAAAGTGTCTGCATCCTCCTTCATGGGAGACAGAATGTCTGGTTCTGCTCAGATTCTCAGGGGGTATATTTTTAGATGAGAAGGAGAATACCAAGAATGCATGATCAGCACTCCTGGAATCCAAAAACACATCCCAGGGGGAATGGCATGGATTAGTGCCATCCTTAAGATGTCGGGGGGATGGTGCAACACCAAAGGTTTCTAGCACATTCCCATCTAATCCACCAGGCAGACCTCTGCAAAAGCCAGATGGATAAAGAGAGAGGTCAGTGGGCTATCCCTACAAACTTAACCAGGTTGTAACTTCAGTGGCAGCTGCTGTGCCAGATGTGGTATGTTTATTAGAGCAGATTACACAGCCCTGGGCACGTGGTACACAGCTATTAACATGACCAACGTACTTCTTTTCATACCCATCAATAAAGGGAATCCAAAGAAGTTCACATTCACCTGGGATGGATAGTAGCACACATTCGCAGTCTTGCCCAGGTTTTGGTTAATTTTCCTGTTCTCCATCGTAATATAATCTGAAGGGTCCTGGACCATCCGGACACTCCACAGATAATCAATCGCATGGATCCATATATTGGTGACACCATACTAATTGGACCTAATGAGAAAGCAGTGGTAAGTGATCCGAGTACTGTAGTGAGAAACTTACATTACAGGAAATGTGAGATAAACCCTTAAAGATTCAGGTACCTGCTTCATTTGGGGAGTTTTTAGGAATCCAGTCGTCTGAGACATGATACAGCATCCTCTCAAAAATAAAGAACAAGACACTGCATTTTGTACATTGTACCATTAAGAACAAAACGCAATGCTTGACAGGTCTATGGAAAGCAGCATATTCCATGCTTGTCACACTGCTTGAATCTGTTTACCTAGAGACACGGAAAGCTGATGGCTCTGACTGGGGTGAGCAGTTAGTTAATGGATTCTGTAGCAAGTCCAGGCTGCAGTACAAACAGCCCCGATGCCTGCACCCCAATACCTAGCAGATCTCACAGCCCTAGAGTTATCTGTGGTCCAAAAAGGAACCATATGGACTTTCTGACAAGCCCCTGTAGGAGAGTCACTATGAAAACCCTTAGAGTTCTACAACAAGGCCATGCAAGCTCCCGCAAAGAACCACACATCATCCACAAAGCACCCCAGGTGTGCTACCGAGCTCTGGTCAGAACCGAGCATCTGGTCAAGACATATCAAGCGATCATGCAGTCAGAATTGCCATCCTGAGCTGGGCAAGTTGTAAGGTGGTGTGGCCCCAACAGCAAGGGGGGTCATTGTAAAATGAAAGTTGTACTTGAGACATGGAAGTTCTCAGGAGGAACGCTAGGCTGCTTTGGATATGAAAATTAATCAAGGTAATACACTTATCTGTATATTAATAAAGAACAAAAACCACATGACCATTTCAAGAGATGCAGAAAAGAGCATTTGACAAAATCCAACACCCTTTCATGATAAAAACACTCAACAGACTGGGAATACAAGGGAATTTCCACAACCTGATTACAGTTAAAAGGCATCAAGCAAAAACCCACAACAAACATCCTTAAAGGTAAAAGATGAAATGCCTCCCCCCAACATCAGGAACCAGAGAAGCATATCTGCTCTCACGACTTCTACTGAATCTTGCACTGGAGGGTTTGGCCAGGGTAATTAGGCAAGGAAAAGAAAGAAAAGGCATCCAGATCGGAAAGGAAGTAAAATCATCTATTCACAGGTGACATGAATTTGAGTACAGAAAATCCTGAAGAATCCACAGAAAGCTAACAAATGAGTTCAGCAAGGTTACAGGGTGCAAAATCAATATACAAAAATCAACTGTATTTCTACACACTAGCAATGAACTCCAGCCTGTGCGACTCAAAAAAAAAAAAAAAAAGGAAAAAAGAAGAATGCAGTTTTAAAAAGAAAACTTAAAGGAAAGTCAAGCATGATCCCACTATCTGAGATGATGACTGAAGGTGATGACCGACCATTTTCTTACTTTCCCCTGAAAATTAAAATAAGAAAACAATTCCATTTACAGTAGCATAAAATATACTTAGGAGAATTTAACAAAAGAAATACAAAACTGTGCACTAAAAACTGCAGAACAGTGTTCAGATATATTAAAGATGACCTAAATAAGTGGAAAGAAATCCTGCATTCATAGACCAGAAGAATTAATACTGTGATGATGGCAATTTTCCCCAAATCAGTCTACAGATTCAACACAATCTCTATCAAAATCCTGACTGCCTTTTTTTTCTTTTTGCAAAAACGGACAAGCTGATCCCAAAATTCACATAGAAATGCAAAGGGCCCAAAATAACAAATACAACTTTGAAAGAAGAAGAACAAAGTGAGAAGACTCACACTTCCCAATTTTAAAACTTGCTACAAAGCTACAATAATCAAGACAGAGTGGTACTTCCATAAGGATAGAGATTTAGATCAGTTAAATAGAACTGAGTGTCCAAAAATAAATCCTTACATTTGTGGTTGGGTAATGTTTGAAAAATGTGCTAAGACAATTCAATGGGGGAAAGAAGAGCTTTTTCAACAAATGATTCTGGGACAACTGAATATCTAGATGAAAAAAAAAATGGATTTGAACCCCTACTTCTCACTATCCATAAAAATGAACACAAAAGGGATCAAAGACTTAAATGTAGGTGCTAAAACTGTAAAACTGCGAGAAAAACACAAAAACATAAGTCTCCATGACCTGAAGGGTTAGGCAATAGTTTCTTTTTCCCCAGAAAGTCTGGCTGACCTTAAAAGAGCCTGCTTCACACAGCATTAAAGATCTGTTTCACACCTGATGCATTACTCTTGCAATAGGCAGGGCTGTCTATGCTATCCTTGTAACATAACTCTTGCTGTGGCTGAAATGAACACACTTAGGCGGTGTACACACACACATACACACATACAGCATGGTCGCAGCCACTCATAAAGCCTGGATCAGTCTCTTCAAATCCTACATGGGCTTCAGCCTAGATAGTCACTGGGAACAGCAACCTCTCAGGGTTAAGCCAGGAACACTACAGTCATGCTGATCCTGAAACTGTTTCAAATATAGCCTGGAGTATTTAATACCTTTATAAACGGAAATGAAACTGGGTTAAAATAACGACCCAAACCAGATGGCGCAAATGTTCTGTTCTCTTCAGAAACTGAAAGAGGAACAAAAAAGAGACTCCTTCCCAAGGGAGCAGGTGCAGCTGCTGGGGAGCATCGGGGCTTTTCCTGAGCGCTGCAGACACCTACAGCCTGGGACCACGTGCTGCTCAGAATGCTCATTCTCTGATTTGTAAGCAATTAATATGGCTGTGACAGCAGCAATCCGGACACAGCAATGCAGAATTCTCAACACAATTCTACTTCCTAGCTCTAGTATTTGCTGAAATGTGCAACAACATGTTCTATAAATCAACTAAAATTTGTTGAGTGTTTACTGTGAGCCAGACACTGTTGTACCAGTATTACTGCAGTAACTCATTTAATCCTTACAACAATCTTACGAGATGGATTCATTTTTCCAAAAATGTACATTGAAACCTAAGCAAGTTAAGTAATATGCCCAATTCATAGAGCTTCTCACCAGAGTTTGGATTCAGGTCATCTGACTCCATAAGCCAGGTGTTTAGCCCTTACTCTCTTTTGCCAAACTGCTAGAATTATAAAAAAAACTGCAAAATGAAATCATTCATTCCTTGGTGTATTTGTTTTCTATTGTCACATTACCAGAAATTTAGCGGCTTTTAAAATAACACAAATTTATTTACTTACAATTTTGAAGATCAGAGTTTGGGGCTAAAATCAAACTGTTGGCAGAGCTTCATTCCTTCTTGAGGCTCTAAAGGAGAAGCTATTTCTTTACCTTTTGCAGCTTCTAAAGGCCGCCTACGTTCGTTAGCTGGTAGCCCCCTCCTCCATCCTCAGAGCTCGTCACTACAGCCTCTGATTTTGCCTCTGCATCTCCTTTCTCACCCTGACTGTCCTGCCAGTCTCTTATCAGGACCCTTGTGATTACACTGGGTCCCACTGAATAATCTGGGATAACCTCCCCATATCAAGTTCCTTAACTCAATCACATCTGCAAAGTCCCTTTGCCATCTAAGGTAACAGATTCACAGGTTCCAGGCCCTGGGATATGGACATCTTTTGGGGATGGTCATTATTCTAACACAAATAAGGAACTAATAAGCCCACCCATGTATCTGCATCATATGTTTCTTAAAAAGAAAAAGAAAAGAAAGAAGAATAAAACACAAGTCTGCAAGTTCATAAAGCACTTAGAAACTATCGGTGGTCAATATGGGGGTCACGTGGAATTGTCCACAATGTCTACTTCTTGGTAGGTTTGTACAAAATCAACAACTGTGAAAAGTTTCACATTAAATTCAAAATCAATAGCAGAGAGAGTTGAGAAAATCCCAAATATGTGGAATTAAACAATACATTCCTAATAACCAATGAATCAAAGAAAAAAAATCACAAGGGAAATTTGAAAATACTTACAGATGAAGGAAAATGAAAATACAACATACAAAAACATATGGAATGCCACAAAAGCTGCTCATAGCAGCAGCATTATTCATTATAGACAAAAAAAGTGGAATAATTCAAATGGCCATTAAATGATGAATGGATAAACAAAATGTGGTATATTCAAACAATGGAGTATTATTCAGCCATTAAAAAGGAATGAAGTGTTGAGACATGTTATGACATGAATGAACCTTGAAAACACCCTGCTCAGGGAAAGGAGCCAGGCACAAAAAGCCACATATTATGATTCCATTTATATGCAATGTCCAGAATAGGCAAATCCATAGAGACAGAAGGTAGGTTAGCAGTTGCCAGGGGCTGGGGGGAGGGAGGAATGGGGAGGACCTTGGTGCCTCACCAGAGCACACACCAGCTAACCTGTGATGGCCATGTGGCATGAATGAGAAACAGACATTTGCTGTTTTATTTAATTTTTTAATTTTTTTTGGGGGAGGGGGACAGAGTTTTACTCTTGTCACCCAGGCTGGAGTGCAATGGCGTGATCTCGGCTCACTGCAAACTCTGCCTCCTGGGTTCAGGTGATTCTCCTGCCTCAGCCTCCCGAGTAGCTGGGACTACAGGAATCTGGCACCACACCCAGCTAATTTTTTTTTATTTTTATTTTTAGTAGAGATGGGGTTTCACCATGTTGGTCAGGCTGGTCTTGAACTCCTGACCTCAGGTGATCTGCCCACCTCGGCCTCCCAAAGTGCTGGGATTACAGGCATGAGCCACCGCGCCCAGCCCATTTGCTGTTTTAAACCAGTGAGATCTGGGGCCTTGTTTATTATCATGGAATTCTAGTCCGTCCTGATTAACAGAGGGTAATGGATAACCCGAGGGCATTTTTCCAATATCCCAAAGGGATGGATAATTAATTACGCCCCCCCCCCCTTCTATTTGGAAATTTCACTGCAAGTTCTTCTAAGTACTCTTAGGACAGGCAACAGCTGAGTGGTCCCGATGAGCCCAGGACATCTCTGATTATTTGAATGGACTTCTCTTTCCCCTCCAGGTGCAGCTGGCTGTAGCAGAATGTGGTTTGAGAGTCCCAGCAGCGCCCTGAGGCCTCTGCCTGCTGAGTTCCTCCCATGAGTCTTCAGTCTCCAAGAACTGAGCTCTACTCTCACGGGCCCCAGCCTCACTCACAGGGACCCTCCAGTCACCTTTTTTATTTTCTATTTTTATTTATTTTTTTGAGGTGGAGTCTCGCGCTGTCACCTAGGCTGGAGTGCAGTGGCGTGATCTCAGCTCACTGCAACCTCTGCCTCCTGGGTTCAAGTGATTCTCGTGTCTCAACCTCCCCAGTAGGTAGGATTGAAGGCGTGCGCCACCACGCCCGGCTAATTTTTGTATTTTTAGTAGAGATGGAGTTTCGTCATGTTGGCCAGGCTGGTCTCGAACTCCTGACCTCAGGCAGTCACCTCCTTTAGATGATGGCCTTTCTTTGGGGGTTTCTCTGTTGTCCCCACCTCTGCCACTGTCCCTGTATTCTACCCTGCCTCCCTAATCTACCCACCCTGGACTAGACTGAAAGACCTGGACCTGGATTGAATGTGGAACATCTCTTACCGGACTTGGTTGTAGGAATATGACCATGCATTCATTGCAGATGCAAGTTAAAGAAGAATATTTTAAATATTGTTGGCTTAAGCCAGGCGGCAAAATATTCAAACATAAAATCTCAGATGCAGCCAAATCAGAACAGCGTGTTCTGGTGACGCGTTTCGGCAAACGCAATCATTCACGGGCTCCTCTGAGCCTAATTAAGCAAAAGCCCAGCTGGGGGCTACAGGAAAAACAACTGTGGATTCTACCTTCATTGCAACAGGTTACAACTGCTGATTTATGCCTCTCGGCAGGAACAACTGGCCCTGGGCCAGGGAGATCACGGAGGCAGCCAAGGAGCCCATGGGTTGCCCCCCTATCCCGGTCCACCCCACGGTGAGGACAGTGCCCTCAGTCACCAAATGCTCAGGATTTACATGAAGTGGGGTAGTCAGAAACTGCAGAGAGTCCATGGAAAGATAGGGGTCACCTCTTGGGGACAGCCAGGACCAGCCCTGCACTGAGTCAACACTTCTGCTGTTCTGCCCCTGAGCCTTTGCTCCCCCATCTCTCGCCGGTCGTTTCCTGCCAAGCGTCTGGTGCCTTCCTGCTGATCCCAGCTGTTTCTTCCCAGGGGCGTCCTAGCAACCATTCAGCCCTTGCATCCTTTCCTTTGAAAGGCCACCAGTCTCCCTCCTTCCCTCGAGCAGGAGGACCGCAGAGCGCACCCTGACGGAAGCGTTCACACTCAAGTGTTTATGGTTGCGTGTCTTCTTGCACAGGGATGTCTGCGTTTCCAATACCGGCTTCTGGACAGGACTCACTCCGAGAAATAAATGTGTAATGGATATTTCTTTTCTAGAACAAATGGGGTGGAAGTGGGAGTTTTGGCATCTCTTGAAATTTCATTTCGAGGTAAAATTTCATTTTGAGGTAAAATTATGAGAATTTCATTTCATTGTAAGGCCGTTCTTGCTGGCCAACTGAAATGTGTGTTGGAAGAAATGCAAGGGGCTCTTACGAAGCAGATGTTCAGGGCAGCACAGACGCTCATAGGCTCAAGAGCAGACAGACAGGGAAGGAGCTAAAAAGGGAAAGCTTTTTCTCAGATAGCACAGCTAGTTCCTAAGACTAAGGGTCATGCCCCAGCTGCTGCAGCATTTTCCCAAGTTCTCTGTTTCTTCTAAAATCACACATTTTCTCAGTGCTTTTTGGCTTACTACCTTTAATAGGCATATAAACGTTTTAAAAACTCATATCAGTATTGATAGCTTTCCTATAGATTAAACGTATTCTTAAACTCCCACTGCCCACATCCACCAAATAGAAACACAATGAATTTTAAGGCAAAAGCACTCCTTGCTTTAAGGTACCCGTAATATTACCCGCTGTGATATTGTTGTCTGTCCCACTATAAATCGTGTCCCATTATTATGAATAATTATCTTTCAATAAGGGTTAATTTAGAATTCTACACTCTTTCTTTTTTTTTTTTAAATTAAAATGTGTGGTGGCTCACATCTGTAATCCTAGCACTTTGAGAGACTGAGGCCAGGAGTTCCAGACCAGCCTGTCTCTACAAAAAAAAATAAAATTAAATTAAAATTAAAATAATAAAAAAAAATTTTAATTAAATGTGTGTGCCCTTACTGTACTTATTTTCTCTTTATGAAAATGTATATTTTTTCTTATGACTTAAACACCACGCTAGGTTTTATTACAGAAAATCTAGAAAACAGAAATTATAAATAAGAAAAATCTTTCTGGCTGGGTGCAGTGGCTCACGCTTGTAATCCCAGCACTTTAGGAGGCCAAGGCAGGCGGATCACCTGAGGTCGGGAGTTCAAGATCAGTCTGGCCAACATGGTGAAACCCTATGTCTACTAAAAATACAATAAATTAGCCAGGCATGGTGGCATGTGCCGGTAATCCCAGCTGCTTGGGAGGCTGAGGCAGGAGAATCGCTTGAACCTGGGAGGCAGAGCTTGCAGTGAGCTGAGATCGTGCCACTGCACTCCAGCCTGGGCCACAGAGCGAGACTCTGTGTCAAAGAAGAAAAGAAAAATCTTTCGTAAGTGCATGACAAGGAATTCTCCCAGCAATTTATTCTCAGCATATATATGCGTATATATACATATTTTTTAAAAAATCAGAATCACACTATATTTAGTGCAAACTTTTTTTGTCATTTAGTAGAGTGTATTTTTTTCTAATGTTCAATATTCTGCTGTGTGATAGACATGCCAAATCCATCTCTAGACTCTATCCTTTCCCCTGAATTTAACTGGAAGAGTTGACCCTATGCACCATGTGATCCCAATTCAGAACATCTCTTCACTTATGCCCACCAAATACCTTCCCCACACCCGTGATTGGACCAGGTCTGGATTAGACTCAAATTGAGTCAATCAGAATCTCTCTCCCAGTAATTTGGAATTAGTCTGTTGCTAGGGTCTGTTTGTGTTTCCCTAAATTCATAAGTTGAAAGCTATTCCCTCAGTGGGATGGTATTAGGAGGTGAGGCTTTTGGGAGGTGATTAGGTCATGAGGGTGGAGCCCTCATGAATGGGATTGGGGCCTTTATAAGAGAGGCCCCAAAGAGATTCCCCACCCTTTTCACCGTGTGAGGAAACGGTGAGAAGGTGGGTGCCTGTTAACGAGGAAGTGGGCCCTCACTAGACACTGAGTTTGCTGGCAACTTGGTCTTGGACTTCCCAGCCTCCAGAACTGTCAGAGATAAATTTCTGCTGTTTATAAGCTTTCAGTTTATGGTATTTTGTTATAGCAGCCAGAACTTACTGAGACAGGCCTGTAAGGCTGAGTCCCTTAGACCATGATGAAGGCCTGTGTGCTGTACAGTTGAACAGCGTCCGGGCAGACACGGCTAAAATCCAAAGAATGTGCTCCATGCAAAGGGAATTCATGAGGGAGTGGAGACAGCATGAGTAGGCCAAGTGAGATTATCTAAAAAGAGAAGCAGAAAATGAGAGTAGACCTGTTGAGAGAGGCAGGGACAAGATGCCACAGGTGTTCATGGATGAGACAGTGGGCAGCCCTAACACCTGCTCCACGCCCCACGTGCACTGGCTGAACTTCTCATCCTCATGAGTTTGCTTGTTTTGACTTTTGAGTAATTTGCGTTTTTACTTACTTTACTCATTCAAGTCGATTTCACCTGAAGAGCACTGACTAAGAAAATCATAGTTACTTTAATAGCTGCCTAGTTTTCTAGTGTATAAATATACCATAATTCATGTAATCAAGTCCTTTTTGGTTAGATATTAAGATGTTTCTATGTCTTAACTATTCTATTTAATAAAGAACACTATAATAACTATCATTCCAACTAAACGTTTGCAAATATTTCCTTAAGGTCAAATATGCAATCAAATGGGATTGCATCAGATGAGAAACTATGGGTCAAGAAAATTAATATCATTTGTGCATTTCATTCCCGGTAGCGAGATGTCTGAACATTTCTGTTTTCTGCATCCTCGCCAATATTAGGTTGACTACTGAAAAAAGAAACAATTCTGCCAATTAAAGTAGTTAAAAATGTTGTCTCCTCATATTAATTTAGATTTCTTTGATGCCTGGAATTGCACATACTTTCCTCTATTTATTGCTCAGTTCATTTTCTTCCAATACGAAATGTTTATTCATGTCTTTTACTCATTTTCTTCTATTTAGATGCTCATTTATATCTTTTTGATTTGTGAGTGCTCTCTCTCTCTCTCTGTGTCTGTCTGTCTCTCTCTCTCTCTCTGTCTCTTTGGTTTTGCTTTTGGCTTTCGGTTTGTTTTTTCTCAAAGACAATGTCTCACTATGTTGTCCAAGCCAGATTCAAGCTCCTGGGCTCAAGCAATCCTTCCATCTCAGCCTCCTGAGTAGCTGGGACTGCAGGTGTGTGCCCCTACCACCTGACAGGATATTAAACTTGATTCCTACACACTTGAAATTTATCTTCTCCTATCTAGTTATGTGCCTCTGAATTTTATATATGAAATATTTGATAGACATTAAAAATATATTTGTATAGTCATGTGTTGAGATATTTTCTGTTGTACTTTAGTCCTTTGATGTCATAACTAGAAAGTAGTTCATCTGCCTAAGATTATATAATCATATACTTTCATTTTTAAGAAGACACATTAAAAAGGAAATGAAATACCATAGCACTTAGAAATCAAATACTTAAAAGACATAAAATAGAGACAGAAAGCAACACATACTAAAATAAAGACAAATCCATCACCAAGCCACCTTTAAATTTCAGCGATACTGAAAGTTACCAATTATGAAACCATTCTCCCTATAGAAAAAATAAAGCAGATGTTTTATCTCAGAATAAAATTCGTTTTAAAACTATTTCCATCCTGCCTTAGACTTGCCTATATTATTTAAGTCATTAAAAAGTACCAAGGGCCAGGCGCAGTGGCTCACACCTGTAATCCCAACACTTTGGGAGGCCGAGTTGGGTGGATTACCTGAGGTCAGGAGTTCGAGACCAGCCTGGCCCACATAACAAAACCCCCTCTCTTGACTATTTTTAGTAAAATACAAAAATTAGCCGGGCATAGGGGCTCATACCTGTAATCCCAGCTACTCAGGAGACCTAGGCATGAGATTTGCTTAAACCCAGGAGGTAGAGGTTGCAGTGAGCCAAGATCACGCCACTGCACTCCAGCCTGGGTGACAGAGTGAGACTCTGTCTAAAAAACAAAAACAAAACAAAACAAAAAAACAACGATAAAGAAAAAGAAAGAAAACAAAAAAAAGTACGACGAAAAAAAATAAGACAGGAGATATTAATTCACGTAGCCAAGACTCAACTGTTTCTCTTTTTCCTGTGGATAAAACTGCAGAGAGGCAGTGATGAGAGAAAATCTACTCTAGCTCTCCAAATTTATACGACCCCATTTGTTGGTGTGGCGAAGCAAGAAGAGGGGTTATTTGGATGTGACGTGTTGTCATCTGGCGAATTGTGGGGTTCCTATTCAGAAACATCCCTGGAGAGTCTGAATTGTGGGCTATGGACGCTGCATAGAGCCTCGAATTCACATGATTAGTCTTATTATCATTTTTTTTGTCTTGTGGCTAGAGAGAGGAGCAAAATTATGCCCCGTGGGTTGCAAGAGTTGTTCAGTCATGAGATGTAGCAGGGACCCGGGATGGGAAAGGGTGGGGATGGGAGTAAAAGGCGAGAGAGAAACCAGGGGAAATCAAGGGCATGTTGCAAACCAGCTGATGTGGGGTGTTCTGTAACTGAAGGTGGTACTGTTACCCCATTCTACAGATGAGGAAACAAAAGCTCAGAGAGGTCTAGTAACTTCCCATGGTCACACAGCCAGTGAGGGAAGAAGTTGGGATTTGGAAAACATGATGTTGGAAATAACAAGAATAAGTGAAGACACTGAGAAGGATCAAAATCCAACATGAACTAGGTGGTGAGGACCAGCTTTGTAATTGAGGGGGGGCTCTTGTGGCTGATCCTGATGGGCAGTGTTCAGACGGCCAAAGTTTAGATTTTAGCTCTGAATTCTATCTATTCAAGCATACAATGCATGTCTTAGTAAGAATGGCTTCAACTGGTATGCTAACTTTTTAGGTCCTTTCATTTTATTCTGACAACAATCCTTGCGGGTAACCCAGTACCTATTTTAACACTTTGCTTCAGAGTTAGAAGTTTTTATGAATTGATTTTATGGAAGAATTTTTGTAAGTATGTTTAAATGTTATGCCCTGGTTATCAAACAAGACCCAAGCCTAGTCAGGCCTCTTAAGCATGGAGAGAGATGAGCCTTCTCAGCGATCTGCGCCTTTAAGGAGGGCTCCGCTCTCCTGTCTGCATCCCGGTGCTGCATATAAATGGCCTCTGTGGCTTCAGCCTGCTTATTTCCATTCAAAGTGTACACTCTGCTTTTTCCCCAAAGTAAAAGCATTTCCAGGAGCGCCAAGCACATCTCTTTTTTGTAGACTTCCTCTTGGCAGAGTGAATACTGCTGATTTATAAATTACATGGAGGTGTGCAAAGGAGATCAAGGTTCAGTGGATGTGAGCCCACATATGGCACCTCCCACAGGCCCAGACGCTGCCCTTAATTCTCAGCTCATCGCTTCTGCCAACCTTGTCAGTTCTGGCCACTCAAGCGGCACTCTGATCAAAGCAAAAGTAGTTGTCTTCCTCTTAGAAAAGAGGAAATAGGGTTCTTCCTTTTGCAAGTTAACATACTCAAAGCATCATTTCCCTTGTTGAATTTTTCCTAATCCTTATTTGAAATAGGCTCCTATGCCTTCATAGGGGGCCATTTTCATTGGCGAAGAAATTGTCCTCTGTTTTTTTGTTTGTTTGTTTGTTTGTTTGTTTTTACTATCAGATGCAGAACTCTATTTGAATGAAATCTTTATAGGAAAGAGGACATGCCTTCGATGACCACATTCCCCTCCCATAATCTGATGCTAGAATGCAGTGGAATGCACATTGCTTCTCATCACAAATAGCCACTGAAAAGGAGAAATTCTTGGCATTGTGGACTCACTACTTCCTGTGGATAATTACTAGAAATATACGCGTGTGCATGCATGTATGTTGTGTATGTGCCTGTCCAACATGCTGGGTCAAACTTTTGGATCTTTGAATCATACTGACTATGTGGAATACAAACATGATACCGCACCCTGTGGATCGTCACAGTCTCCCTGTTTCTCTCGGCAATGCTGGCTGGTTGTCTCACCAGTTAATGAATGAAAGAAGAGGGAAAGGGAAGGAAAGGGGATGAAGAGGAAGAAGAGGAGAGATGGCAGGAAGCTCTGACATACACAGCCCCACTCACTGGCTCACTTTCCAGCCTCTGCTGTTATTCCTTCCTTCTGGGCTCATACCCTGGGTCTCCAGCCAACTGGTGATGAGAGTCCAGGGACTTTACTGCCTTTTCACCTGTCTGGTGTCTCAAAACAGAGAACTGCAGCCCAAGACCATTTTACCTTTGCAGTAGAATGTGAGAATTAAAACTGATCTCGGCTGGACACGGTGGCTCACGCCTGTAATCCCAGCACTTTGGGAGGCTGAGGCGGGTGGATCACCTGAGGTCAGGAGATAGAGACCATCCTGGCTAACATGGTGAAACCCCATTTCTACTAAAAATACAAAAAATTAGCCGGACATGGTGGCGTGTACCTGTAATCCCAGCTACTCAGGAGGTTGAAGCAGGAGAATTCCTTGAACCTGGGAAGTGGAGGTTGTAGTGAGCCGAGATCACGCCATTGACTCCAGCTTGGACAACAAGAGCAAAACTCCATCTCAAAAAAAAAAAAAAAATACTGATCTCAATTCAGGCAGGCTCTGTGGCTCACACCTGTAATCCCAGCACTTTAGGAGGCTGAGGAGGGAGGATCACTTGAGGCTAGAAGTTTGAGACCAGCCTAGGCAACAGAGCAAGACCCCATATCTACAATCAATAAAATAGAAGTTATCTCAATGCAATAGACGTGAGGAACAGCATGGTGGGACAGATCAAGTGATTTTTTTTCCATGGCCATCAGGACCAGGACAAAAAGCCTGTTCTTTGGACTTCCTCAGTCCTGTGTGACACCAGACTCAGGCTGCTTCTTCTCACCCCCTCTTAGCTCACCCTGGCCTCAGCAGCTTCATCCTGGCCTTGGGGACACCTGTCACACAGGGTGGGGACAAACACCACCATATTTACAGACACACCACAGCAGTGGTTTCCAACCACGGGTGATTTTGCCTCCTTGGGAGATTGTTCGCAATGTCTGGAAGTAATTTGGGTTGTCACAGCTCGGGGGAAGGGGTGTGCCACTGGCATCTAGTGGGTAGCAGAAAAGCCCCCTGCAACAGAGAATCATCCAGCCCCAAGCGCCAATAGTGCCGAGGTGGAGAAACCCTGAACTTCCCAACATCTCAAGGTTGTTTCGCCAAATCCAGAGTCAGATCTTCCCCGGGGTTGGTTTTGGAAGGTGCTTTTGCATATCTGTGGATGGTGAGAAGTTCTGAGACTGTGGGGACTGCTGGGCAGGGTGGAGGGAGAGTTAAAATATCTGGGCTGGAGAGTCCTGGCTCCAATCTTAGCCATCTGTGAGCTCAAGAAGCCACTTTCTGTCTCAGGCCTCAGATTGCACTGGAAGATATCTCTGCCCCAGTGTGGTCGGGGTTGTGGAGACTTGAAGCCGGTCCGGTGCAGCCCACAGAAAATGCTTTGGAAATGTCTGAGCACCTTAGGTGGGCTCGGCCGAGGCTGACATTTCGAGTACATGACAGTTATTGGCTTTCACACCACCTGGTCAGAGCCCAGCCCCTGTGTACAAGGACACCCTGACCAGCCTTCATCGGCCCGTTACCCACTCACTGCTCAACTCCACTCTGAACAGGTGGGGTGAGGTCTCAACACTCCCCTGCATATAGCCTGCTGCGTTCCCATATTCTCTACTAGCAACTATTTGTTTTACCTCCACGCTCTTTCCTCAACCCCCAATCTCTGTCTTCGTAACCATCAGGAACAATGTCTACGGTTCATCCACATCCCAGACCAGACACTCCATGATGGCAGAGCCATGGGCCCTGGACTAGTCTCCTCCTAGTGTGGCAGCAAATCCTCACAACCATGATGAAACCTTTCTAGTGACCACTCTGAAAAGGATGGCTCTCCTGCCCCATGTCATCCCCAGGCCCTGACCTGAGCCACTCCCCACGCATCTCATTCACGCCCTGTTGGTTCCCTGATACCCTCTGACTCAAATAACTCTTCTTGGAGGATCCTTGAAGTTTTTTGAGAATTGCTGTTCAGAATAAGTTATCTCTACTAGAAATGTCTTGAGGTCCGTGAATAGGCGTCTAGGATGCATTACGCATAGGAGATGCCCAACAAATATTTGCCACCTCGACTTGGTAAACAACAGGCCCAACAGATGTCATGGCATCGTATTTCTCTGTGTTGTAATTGGCGTATGTCTCAGGGGTGCAGTCGCTTTTTAGTTTCCGTCATTACTGCTACACGGATCTGTTTCTCACTTTTTCTTATCACTGTTAGTTCCTTGCCATTTCACCAGAGAGTTATAGCAGAGAGGAAAAAAGAAAACAAAACTCAGAGAAAAAAAGGATGAGATGGAATCCAACCAAAACCTCAGTGCCACTGCTGACCCCAAATCTGAATTTAAAAAAATAAAATAAAATAAATAAAAAATTAAAAAAAAATTCTCTGGTCCAAAACTTTTAGTTATTTTTTTTCCATCCCTCAGAAACACTAACTTAGAAATTAAGTGGTAAGTGATTTGGCTTTTCTTTTATATATTTTAAAATATATAAACATGGACACATTCTTTGGGAGCTTTAAGTCTTTTAACTCAAAGGAGAATTAATTTCAGTAAACTGCCGTCAACGTGGTGGTTGTGAACGACAGTCTGTTTATGTGCAAAGCCGTACTTTTCCATTGAGTCTATTCTTTGAACTGATAAATCTCACCTGAGCAGAAACCACGGCCACAAAATGTCACAAGCAGAGAGCACAATGCTGCAAGCACTTAGCAGCTCAAAGTTTTTACACCTCGGCTCTACAGTAGCAGCAAGATTTTCACTAATTGTGTGGGGCCCCAGGATGTGTTTTGGTTTTGCAAGGTTTTTTGCAGACTCTGCCTTCCTGTTCCTCTGTCTCGGTGTGCTCTCACACACACACAATGCAGAGGACAAGCGCACGTCTTTACAATTCAAAACCAGAAAAGACCAGAACATTTTTAATTAGTCTGAAAATAAATTTAAAAAAATAGCAGCTCTGAAAGATGTGTTCCTCTATCTCTTTCCTCTGGAAGGCTGCAATTTAATATGTTTATGGGGAGAAGTGGTCCCTACAATCCCAAGAAAAGTAAGGGGGAGTTGGGGGAGTCTCAACCCAATTATTTGGCAGTCAACTTTGCCCCTCCAATAAATGAAACTGCAAAGCTGTCTTTTACAGGATACCCAGGCACTGACAGCAAACTGCAGGACCACAGTTTCACATCCATTCCCTGGGGGCATGATTTAAACCCAGAAACCTGTCATCAGGAGGGAAGTGGAGAGCGGCTCCAGGACTGGCTGAGAAGTGATGGTGAAGGGTTTTTGTCTCCCTTTCAACCCCGTAAACCTAAGTGAACCCGATCTCTGATTGATTATTAAACACTTCGCATTCAATGGCTGAAGGACAGTCTACTCGTTAAATCAGTGATTCTTAGCAGAGCTATTTCTGCTAGATGATATTGTTGGGTGCTGGGAAGGAGGTGCCGATAATGAGAAGGAAGTAGCCATCGCAAGTTGGCAAAACTCCCGAGGAAGTTTAAAAAAAAAAAAATAACTTCCGTCAGCATCATTGCCTGCAAAATGGATGCCATTCTTTTTGAGATTAAGGAATCCAGTGAACAAACACAAGTCAATCACATTTACTACGGAAAACAATTACTCAATTCAGCGAGAGGAAGAATAACATCTACCGGAGTTCTAGCCTTCCATTCTGAAGGGGCATGGAGAGGGGACGAGGTTTCTTCCTCATCTCAGATGGATCCTTTGCAGAATTCATGCTAATGAAGGTTAACCTGTTTCTCTTTATCTCTGTCATGAGTTATTAATGTCTGGTATCAGTTATTTGCAAATTTTAAACTATTTTGCACAGCAGCACCTAACACCATGGTATTTTGTCTAAACAGGGATTTCTTGGTCTTCACAGCACACTTGGTGTGCCTACGGAAGGCGTCATCGTGGTTATTTACAAGATGTGTTTTCTTTCCATTTTTACGGTTTTTATTTTTCCCCCACTTCACTCGGAATAACATCGTCTCCTGTCTATCTGGGGATAAAAGATGATTACCTTTTTGTTCAGAATCCACTAAACTAATACACTTCTTCTGTTTGTTGCTAAGCAACCAAGCTGGGTTACCCGGAAGCAGCAGACTCCGCTGTCAGTCACCGGCTCCTTTCTGATAATTGACCATCAGAGAGTTTGCCTGGTAGGGGGAAGAGCTCGTAGTCAAAAGACTTTAGAAATCTTTTTAAAAATTCAGCTATCCAAAGGTTTGCCAAAGCGTTCTATCCTAGACAAACAAATGATGGCAAACGCACCTAATAGGTTACTAATCGGTAATAAAAGGAACGGTACGCCACACACAGGAATTGGGATGAAACTCAGATGCATTGGAAAGAATCCCAACACAAAAGAGTCCATCCTAGGCATTCTAGCTCATGTCTGTGAAACTCTAGAAAAGGCACATCGAATCTAAAGAAACAGAAAGTGAGGAAGGGCTGCCCGGGGCTGGGAATGGGCATCCCTAGAGACAGGGTGAAAGGAACTTGCGATGGTGGAAATGCGCCATCATCTACACCTTTATTTTATTTTTATGGATTTAGCGGGTACAAATGCATTTTAGTTACTTGGATAGACTGCATAGTGGTGAAGTCTGTGCTTTTAGCGTAACCATCACCTGAACGGTATAAATTGTACCCAATAGGTTATTTCTCATCCCTCACGCCCCTCCCAACTTCCCACTTTTTGGAGTTTCCAATGTCTATTCTTCACTCTGTCTGTCCATGTGTACCTATTGTTTAGTGAGAACATGCAGTATCTGACTTTCCGTTGCTGAGTTACTAAAAATACGGAACGCATCATGAATTTGCAAGTCATCCTTGCACGGTAGTCATGCTAATCTTCCCTGTATCTCTGCAATTTTAGTATATGTGCTGCTGGAGGGAGCACCCCATCATTTATATATTAATTGTGGCTGAGATTGCACAGATACAAATCAAAATGTCATTTAAATGGATACCTTTTATTGTATGTAAATTAA
This sequence comes from Homo sapiens, assembly GCF_000001405.40. Lineage (NCBI taxonomy): Eukaryota > Metazoa > Chordata > Mammalia > Primates > Hominidae > Homo > Homo sapiens. The sequence continues at coordinate 7,486,901 of NC_000010.11, forward strand.
TTAAAAAATGAAAGCTATGAGTGTGCATCACGGTTTATTACATTTTGACTTAGTTGTGTTATTTTTAGGGTTAGGAAGTCCTTTCCTATTGAGAGTCATTGTTTTACAGGGAAAGGAAATTCATGTCACATAAGTAAAATGCAACTTCATTTTTAAAGGAAGAATTTCATTTTTTAAAGGACATTTACTTGAGAAGTATTATAATTGATATTTCTTCCTTGGTTCCTTTTTTCCTGTCATTTTAATTTTTATTAAAATTATACATGCAAATAATTTAGAGCATCCTACTTATTGGAAGCAACTACTTTCAATTCTTTTCAGCTATTTCTTTTGGAATTAGTTTTACATTTCTAGTAAAATGTTTATACTACTGCTTCTTGACTTTTCAGATTTTGCTGTCTTGGTTTCTAACTCTAGAAATTCAGTATATAATATTCTTTCTCACCTTCTTCTCTCACCACACACACAGACACACACACACACACACACACACACACACACACACACACTTCCTGGTTCCTTATCTTCCCAATGTAGTTATACCATAATTTTGTTTAGATTTGTTTACCTTCTTGTGACTGTGTAAATGCCATTTGTTGCTGATATGAGTAGTAAACTATGATTACTTTTCCTTCCCTGCACAGCTTTTTGTTTTCCCTGGAGTTAATAGGTGCCAGGTTTTGTTTTGTGCTATTTGTTTGCTCAAGGGTCACTGCACACCTACCATCCTGGATCTTCCTCCACTATCATCCTGTCGAGTTTATTCACCTCTCATGGGACTGACACAGCTGTGCACTGGATCACATGTCTTATGAAATTCCCTTTCAAGGGATAAATGACAGCTCTGCACAACTACAAACGAGGACACTAAGACCAATAAAAAGACACAGACTAGCATGAAATAAGAGGTTTATGGTCTGATTAAAGTCATGTCCTTGTTGCACAATGGAAAATTGCAAGAGCAAAGATATTCTTTATAGAGTGGACCCTAGCCACAGCATGAAGGTTTCATGTTGCATGAAAAGACTCTGGACTTATGCCTTTCATGCAACTGGAATGTCCCCTAATATGTTTACCAGTCTTTTTCCCTTCATTCCTGCACACTGTAACCAAAGGAGAAACACTCTCCTGATTACTGTAGACAGGGACATTCTGAGGGGCCCTGAGCAGACAGGACCTTAGGTGACCCTGGTGCCTTTGCGTAGAAGAACCTTTCTCATAAGATAGTTTAACATTATTTATAATAAGGAGTCACCGAAAACAACTAAAGTATCCGACAACAGAGGGCAATTTCCAAAGGTTGACTTTAAAAAAAAAAAAAAATATATATATATATATATACACACACACACACATATTTTGGCACTTCACAGACAATCTCTAAGTATCACAACAAACCTGCAAGATAGATATTTGCATGACCTTTTTACAAAAGAAGAAACTGAAGTACAAAATGGGAATGTGACTTTCCCAAAGCCATTTAGCAATGAAAGGATAGAAGTTTAATTCCAAAGCCAGTACTTGTTACCATGTATTATGCTGCGTGACAGGCAAGACATCCTTTCCAGACATCCTGTCCTAGGATTATGTTTTGGTCTCTTGAGCAACACTTAACAGATATGTCTTCATTTTTAGTAACCTGTGAAGCAAGAAATTGGGAACTCCTAAAGGCTTCACTAGCCAGGACTAAGCACTTCAAGCAGGCAAAGGGGCAGATACTCAGAAAACCAGTGAAGGCCGGGGGGACACCAACAGCGTTTCCAGGGTTGTGAGTTAAAAAGGTAAACAATGCAAGTCAATTGGCAGATGGCCAACGGTCCTGTCTGACCTCACAGCACAAGATTTTCAGAACTGCATGCCCTTGACCGATAGAAACCCTGCAAAATACGTTCTAAGTATCACTATTTTGAAACTTGAGAGGACTGCAGAAAAATCCAGATGGCTTATATCCAAGAGAATTTTTGAGATACCACAGAAAATATAACAAGAGCTCAAATACAGAGATTTTTCCATTAAAAAGTACAATGTATAGCAACTTGTGAATCAAAAAAAAAAAAACAAAATACAAACAAACAAAAAAACCAGCTGTTACTTTGGCTGCCATTGCTATAATCTTGTTTCCTAACTGGGGCTCAGTGGAAGAGATTAATCTTCAAAGGCATACTTTGAAATCAATCTACACAGGAACGAAGACTAAAATCAGAGAAAACACGGAAGGGTTTGTAATTAGACTTCACTGTTTCTGAAGCAATTAGGCTGCAGGGAGCTATGCAAGCCATCCAAGCAACAGTTTGAAAGAGAATCCTCACTTTGTAAAAGATTAAAAGAAAAACAAGACACAATCAGTAAGTCTTTGTAAACTTACCTATATTAGCGGCAATAAGGCTGAAATTAGGGTTTTACAGCTTGATCATAATTCTCAAAACAATTCACACTAAAATATAAACTCCTAAATATGCATTAATATGCTATCCCTTCGTGGACATTTATGTTAAGGCAAAGACGGAACATTCTCATTGCAGAATTTCAGATAGGAGAGAGTAGAGTCTGAATCACCGAGCTAGAAAGGACCTGAGAAATCATCTGTTCCAATTTCCTCATTTTATAGACACCTTGGGCATAAAGGTGTAGGTAATTAGCAGGTGTTAGAACTCAAATTTCCTGACTCCCCTCGCCAGTGTGTCTCTTTCTATGGGAGGGGAGGTTTTGCCTCGTGGCAGAAGGGCCTATGGCATCACAGGAGCAAGATAGGGTAAACCCTAAAATCACCTGGGGTTTTGGGGGGATGGGGTAGAGTTGGGAGGGTTTGACAACCTCAGAGAGAAACTGCACACAGAAATTTTCTGAAGGATGTTCTCTTCCACCCAACCTTATAGGTGGTAAACAAGAAAGGCCATTTTGAAGCAACACATTGGCATTAAGGACTTTTAACTGTGGGCATTAGAAAACCCTTCTCTATGGTCTTGGGGCTCTTATACATTTTATATGTTAGAAAATAACTCAAAATTATTAGCACATAGATCATTTGAAGTGTTAATCATTTCTGCAATGTTTACTCTCTACATTGTAAGTTTAAAAAAATACATGTCCATATTTTTTTGGTAAAGGCTCAATTTAATATACAGACCTGTTAACAAAAATGCTGAGCTAAATCTACACAGCCTCATAATTGCTTGTCTTTCCCTTTTTTTTTTCTTTTATATCCTTTTTTCTTACTTAGGTATGTACTATTACTGCTTGCAAAAACAAGGATCTACCATATGATTATTTCTAATTATTCTTGTGGGGGATTCAAAATTTTGAAAAAAAAAAGCAGTGAAAATTATGCATTCACTTGCAGAAATATGTAATTTTGGGGAAGTTATAGGGAAAAGTGTCAGCAACACTATCTTGCCTGAAGCTTGAATAGTTTAAAGCAGAGAAATGTTGTCATGGTAGTAATCCAACTAAAATTAGATTTCTACTTCTAACAACAAGATTGGATCCCAGGGAGAGGCTGAGAGACCTTAGTTCATAAACTCCACTTGGTGTACCATATGAAATAGCTTTACATACACCTCTGCTTTTGGTGAAGTTGGCATCCCTGACCTCTGACCCAGGCATGTTCACCATGAGCCAGGCATATGGAGAGAGTAGAGAGAACAAAGACTGCTCAGTCTGGGCATGGTGGCTCACACCTGTAATCCCAGCACTTTGGGAGGCTGAGGCAGGCAGATCACTTGAGGTCAGGAGTTCAAGACCAACCTGGTCAATATGGTGAAACTCCATCTCTACTAAAATACAAAAATTAGCTAGGCGTGGTGGCATGCACCTGTAATCCCAGCTACGTGGGAGGCTGAGGCAGGAGAATCGCTTGAACCTGGGAGGTGGAGATTGCAGTGAGCTGAGATCGTACCAGTGCACTCCAGCCTGGGCAGCAGAGCGAGACTCTGTCTCAAGAGAAAAAAAAGGCCCTGATCAGCAACGTCTCCACCACACATCCCAGCACTTAGCCAGCCCTCTGCATCAGGAAAGAGGGAGCAGCAGGGGAAACCCCAAGGGAAATAAAGACTAACTTTATCTATTTGCACATTTGTGTTGGGCTCTGGTTGCTGCTGAGAGACAGAGATACCAAAACCTGTACGAAAATATTAACAACAGGTTGGAAAGTTGAAATGCTTAGTCAGGCCCACTTCAGTTCCATTTTCCCCTGCTCCTAAGGAGGAGAAAGAGCAGAGTGAGAGAAAAAGAGCAAGAAGGAGGATGTGTAAGAGTTCCTGACATCCGCCTTCATAAGTGGCCACTATGTGCCAAGAAAAAAGATGAATAAGACACAGCCTATTTAGAGTAATATCACGTCTGGGGAGCTGGATTCTCTCACAATATGTCGACCGTATCCCTGAGAACAAGGGACGCAGAAGTGTCTTGCGTAGTGCTCAGGACACAGTGTGCACTCCGGAAGGGTTTGTTCAATCTCCACCCACATCTGAACGTCTAGGACCTGCTTTGTTGAGGGAATGTGACTTTCATGGGAGAGGCGTGATGGTTAATTTCATGTGTCAACTTGCCTGGGCTGTGGGGTGCCCAGGTTAAGCACTGTTTCTGGGTGTGTCTGTAAGAATATTTCCAGATGAGATTAGCCTTTGAATGGGGGAACTGAGTAAAGCAGATGGCCCTCCCCAGTGTTGTGGGCCCCATTCAATCTGTGGAGGGCCTGAATAGAACAAAAAGGCAGAGGAAGGAGGAATTTACCTCCTTTTTTCTGCCTCATTGCTTGAGCTGGGATACCTCATCTTCTCTTCTGCTTATTTTAGACTGGAATTTACACCACTGGCTCCCCTGCTTCTCAGGCCTTCAGACTTGGAATGAATTACACCATGGGCTTTCTTGAGTCTCCAAGATGCAGATGGCAGATTACAAGCCTTCTCAGCCTCCATGATCACATGGACAATATTGGATATTCCTTATAATCAATCAATCTACCTATTTCTATGTATCTGTCTCTCTGTCTATCTAATCTTTCTCTCTTTGTCTCTCTCTCTCTCTCTCTATCTAGCCAATTAGAAAGCTATTGTAAGTTATTTCTTCCATGAGTGGGGTGGGATTGGAAGTTAGAGGGCACAACAAGAGGCCTAGACTCTAAAGACAGAAGGACAAGGAAGAAAAGAAAAAAAGAAAAAAAAAAAACCTTGCAGTAGAGACTGTCATTTATTACCTAATACCCATCCACTCCCCCCTCCTTAAAGACCAAACTTCTTTTTACCTGGGTGCTAAACATTACATTTCCTGGTCTCTCCTGCAGCTTGGCATGACCATGTGGCTAAGCTAGGCTCAATACAATGTAAATAAAAATGCTGAGTGGGACTTTTCCAGGAAGTTTTATTGAAAGGCATAGATTGTCAGCAAGAGTTTGTTTTGCATTTCTGCTTTTCTTCTCTTTCCTACCTTAATGTGACAGCTGGACCTCCAGCAGCTATTTTGGACCTTGAGGTGGCCTTGGAAACAAAAGCCATCCATGCACTGAAAATGTCAGAGTGGAAAGATCAGAGCATGAATTTGTAAGGACCACCTTGCTAGCCAGTATTACAGTTACATGACAGAGAAGTGAACCTCTACCTTGCCTAAGCAACTGATTGCTTTGTGGTTTTCTGTTATGTGTGACCAAATCTAATTTTAACTAACCCAGAAATCTGCTCTCTGTTGTCCTCTAACTGAATGTCAATGGCTTCCCATCTATAGTTACTTACATGAAGTATGATGACAGATTTTATATTATGAAAAGAGCAAGAACAATGTCGTTTTAAACTTCCTTTGATTAAAAAAAAAAAAAAGCTCATTTCTCTTTACTCACACCCTTTGTGATTTGCCACTCAGATTTCCAAGAAAGGGAAATTAGTCAACCTGCTTTCTATGTACCAGAGCTTTCTTCAATCCCTGCTGGCCATGAGTAATATGGAATCACACATACACAAAATGGGAAGAGCCCTGCTTCTAAATTCTTCACCGACTAGCTCCGGAAGTCCCAAGAGGAGGGTTACTCGGGTTCTGACACCATCCTCCTCCCTAATGACACTGCCCCCCTAGCTCTTTGACTCCCTGACACTACCTAAAAGGAGAAACTCCTGCTTCTGGAAATCATGAGGTCCAGGCTGCCTCCCAGCTCACAGGCTCACCACACTCCAGTGGGTTCCAAATGCATCCTTTACAGCTTCTCAGACACCTAGTCACCCATTTGCCCCAACAAGGACATCTTGTGCTTTCAACATCTAAGTAGATTTATGCAATTTTACTGAAAAACTCTTTAAATATTTATTTGTTTTTCCAACACAAATGCCTTTCCCAGAACCTAAGCTGGATCATAAGATCCCAAGGAGGAGGTTTATATCTTGCTATTCTTTGCATACCTGGCACCTAGCATAGTGCTTATACGTGGAAGGGATTTATTAAAGTTTTTGCACAAACGACAGCTCCAGCGGATAACACAAATACTCACATTTATTTTCTCTTCTAACCCTAAACAATCATCCTGGCACCAGTGAGCCCCAGCTCTTGTCCTTTAAGAGAAATTCTTTCCTGCACACTCTTACTTAGCTCTGAAGAGCAAAAGGATTTTTCTCAGGTCGTCAAGCTGTGACTCTTCACCTCACACAGCACTGGATGTCTTAGAGGGGCTGGGGGAGAGGAGACGGTCTTTTGCCTCCATTTTCTTGATGCTCTGTCATCCCATTGTTTCCTACACCTCTAGGTCCCCACCAATGGGTACCACATCACAAATATAAAGGTCAGCATTTAACTTGGGAAGTGCAAGCCTAACATGCCACAAAATCCTCAACTTCCAACTTCTCTCTACCCGTCCACTCCCACATTGCTCTACTAATGGAGAAAAGGAAGAGGTTCAGTGAACAATGAGCATCGTGATCATCATTTGGGATTTGGCAGACGTAGAATAAGAAGACAGCTTTTAGGTGCTCAGGCTAAACTCTCTGGTGGGACATCGTTTAGGGGATAATGTGGGGGACTCAGTCTCTTCCAATCGCCTGACTGGATAGCCAAAGAACTCCTGAATTTGGATGCAGGAGCAAGGAGGGGGCCTATTGCAAACTTCCTGCTGCAAACAACCACTGCACTGTCCACACACAAGAGGCAAGGGTGTCACCCCATTAGCAAGCTACCGTAAGTTCTTACTACAGGAAGGCAGGATTCAATGGGCCGCTGTGCAGGAGAGTCTGGGAGGCTGGGTGGAGATCCTGCCATGGCAGGGCAACAGGAGCAATAGCAAGGAGAGAAGCTGGCTCAGGAAGGGCCCCTCCCACCACTGCTTTGGAGAGTTTCTCTGCATGACAGCACTCTCAATCCCCCTAAATCACAATGGGGAGTGAATCTGTCTTGTTTCCTCATTATATACTGGGGACCTAGCACAATGTCTGGCATATGTTAGGAACCCAATAAATATTTGTTGAGCAAACAAATGAATGCACACACAATGAAATTGCTGATCTGTGGCTTTAAAGCAAATCTCAGGGCACATTGCAAAGAGTTGATGCAGAGCAGACGCAGCAGAGGAAGCTTTGGTGTATAAATTAGCACGTGCTTATTTAGAAGGACCCAAGGATTTTGATAAGCTGAGGAAGAAATCTGTAATACAGCATTAACCTGTACGTCCCTGCCAGCCAGAGATTATAAACTTGTACAGGCTCAGGCACAGCCCCCAGGGACTTTCAGAAACTCTTTTCTCTCTTTCCTTGCAAGCCAGCTCCTTGTCGTAGTAAAGCGGATTGGCAGTTGAGACGCCCAGCTTCAGGTCTCACTCCTGCCGGCACTTTGTGTGCATGTGAGTGAGTGTGTGGGTTGACTTTGGCCAAATGACTTAATCTCCCTACATCACAGAGATGGAGATCATGAAGATAATTTCTGCTGGACTAAATTCACAAGTTTGTGTCAACATCAAACCAAGGAACTGGTCTGAAACACACTTTTAAGCCCCCAAAGTCCAAAAGGCAGGTGTTCTTTCCATTTTTTCTTTTTTTTTTAGCTTTTTCTGGTTTTTCATCCTTTTTGAATTCCTTAACTCATATCTTTTTCTTTATTTTTCCCCAATGTTCTTCTTATCTTTCTTTGTTATATTTGCATGGATTTGTACACTTTTTAAAAAATGCTGGAAATCCCTTCTGACCCATGAGTTCCTTTTTGTTGTGTCTTCCATAAAACGGAGCAAAAGATTGCACAAAACTTACTCTTGATAGATTTGGTGGCACTGAGCAGGACCCTGAGATCTCGGCTGGAGCACTGAGCCTGGGGCGTGAGGGTAAAGACTGGCTGCTTGCCTGAGCTCAGGGGCCTCAGCAGGCCAACAGAGGTCAGTGATCTTCCCCAGACTTCACAGCTTTGACCACAGCCATGTTCTTAGCTCCATTAGGAAGCTCCTCGTAAAATGTATGCCAAGTAATTTGCCTTATTCCTCCCATTCCTCCGATTTCCTCCTCAGCAGACATTACTTAAATAACAACAATTTGCAACCTCTATGGGAACTTCTGTACAAAGAGGAAAGAGGCTAAAACTATGGATTCCAAACCATGTCAAAGTAGGACAACATAAACACGAGGTCAAAGAAAGAAAGTGGCTTCAGCTTCCCTCGGGACACGTAGTTTCACGTTGATTAAAGATTAAACAATACTCAGAATTATGTGAAGGTTTTATCCGGCTCAGTGCAGCAATTCAGGCTCTTTCTGAATGGAGAGGCCGAGAAACCCTCCCTCTCCTGGCGTCCAGCATTTGACGTTCCCCAGAACAATGATGAATAATGAGTCCACCAAACATCATATCATTTAACCTTCAAAAAAGACATGTCAGTACTCTCATTAAGGGCATTTTACCCAGAGAGAAACAGGCTGAGAGAGGATTAACCACGTGCAGAAGGTCACCAACCAGCAGTGGCAGAGCTGGAATTCTAACTAGGTTTTCTGGTTCATTTTCATTTTCCTTGTAGTTAATTCATAAATGTACTTTGTCTTTATCCTTGTTGATGTACCACAGGAATAGTAAGTTTATGCTGCTCATATTTCAGTAACATTCTGATTTAAACAATGTAAATCACAAATGGGACCCGTAAGCATGTTTTTTGTTTTTTGTTTTTTTTGAGACGGAGTCTCACTCTGTCACTCAGGCTTGAGTGCAGTGGTGCGATCCCAACTCACTGCAACCTCCGCCTCCCAGGTTCAAGCAATTCTCCTGCCTCAGCCTCCCAAGTAGCTGGGATTACGGATGTGTGTGCCACCACACCCGGCTAATTTTTTTTTTTTTTTTTTTTTTTTTGTAGATATGGGGTTTCACCATGTTGGCCAGGCTGGTCTTGAACTCCTGACCTCAGGTGATCTGCCTCCCAAAGTGCTGGGATTACAGGCGTGAGCCACCACGCCCAGCCAGCATGTTTTCTTATAAAGCTGCCTTGGTCGATCCCCCTAAAGGTTCACATCCAATGTCATGGGATCGAGGGTGATTTGGGGTGCTCAGCACATGATATCCTGTAGTTCCACACCTCTGCCTGGTCTACACTGAAGTCCTTGTGTATAAATTCAATAATGAACACCAAGTTTCCTTAGTAATAGAAAGTCAGTTTTTACAAGTTATAAGTTTTGATGACATTGAGTGATGATAGGAGCAGAATGGGTTTGAACATCCTGTTTTCCAGTCATAAATGAAATTCACTGTAGAAACTTCAGCAAATACAGACTATAACCCCCAAATCCTTTATAATTGAGGCAAACCGGAGCTTCTGGATTACTGGGAGGCTCATGTGACATTTTTTCCAGGCTTTTTTGTCTAAGTCCATCACTGGCTTCATGCTTTGTAGTCCATGGTATGCCACTTTGATCACATAGTATTATACTGCGGTTTTCCTCCACATCAATAACAATTATACTAAAACATTTTTACACTTTTCAGTATGCCATGACTTGCTGTGAGTTATTGAAATGTCGTAAATAACCATGTCTCTTTTGCTTGGCACGCGTTCCCAAAGTAGGATGGCTGGGATAGAGGGAAAGGACATCTTTCAGGCTTGTTATGCACTGTGCTGTGGACTCTTGTTGTGGGGTCCTAGGTCTGCCCAGCATTTTGGGGTTCACCCCGTGACCCTCTACGGGTTTCCATGCCCCCAGCACCACGTCCATCATCATTTCTGGGGTCCCCTCACCTCAGAGAGCCTGCTTCCTATGACTGCGTGGGCCAGCTGGAGAAGGACGACCCAAGACCCCTCAAGTTTCTGTGTCCTGACCCCAAGCATAGGCCTGAGTGCTCCTGGGGCCCAGGGGCCTCTACGCACTACTCTCTGGGGCCCACTGTCTGCACTCTCAGGCCTGGGGGGCTCCCCCTCCTGTGCACCTGTCTCTCCCAAGCAGGTGGACACCAACGTCTATGTCCCCACCTGAGAATCCGCAGCCACCTTGCCAGCCTTCCTGGCTGTGGAGCCTTCCGGTACCTTGACCTGTAAATATGGAGTTCCTGTTTGCTTTCTTGTCTTGGTGGTGAGGAAGGAAGGGGAACTGTTCCTTTAAAGCCCCAAACACTAGAAAATTGGTCTGCAAGGTTATATGAGTTTGACCTAGGTGTGGGATACCTGCAAGTGTGTTTCTACATTCCTAAGGTGCTACTGGTTTCACTTTGTATTAGGATTAGGGGAACAGTGGGGAGCATTGGTGGGGGCGATGGGGAGTGCTACTTGTCAAGTTTCCCTTTGATCAAATGATGAAGAATGGGTGTCATGAGAATGGTGGAACTTGGCCTCTTTAGGATTCCAGCAGAAAGACGCCTGGATCTGGAAGCCAACTCCTTGTCAAGGGTCTTGAATCCACCAGCTGGTCTGTGATGTGAATGGAGACATTGATGTTGCCAGGAAGTTTTTCTATAAAGGACCACAGACTTGTGGTCCTCGGGTCAGGCCTAAATGGAGGGGGATGAGTTCCTTTTAGAGATGAGAGCCTCCCAGTTGGGCCAGGATGAATAGATCTGATTGCCTTTGTTGCCATGGGTGTCCGAATCTCTTGTTCTGAGTCTTGTGATTTTCTAGGTCAATAATATTATTTCCCAAGTTGTGAATAAAATCCAGCCTTTTAAAAATAGGACTGAATGCCAGTGGCTTAATAGACACTGTTCTTAACTCTGATTACCAAATCCATCTGAGAGCGTCTCTTGGAATGACAAGAGAGAAGTCAAGCAGTGATTTTTGCTCCATGGAGGCGGAAAAGGCGGCAAATTCTTGATCAGAGGTAACACGTATCTTTTTAAGATTGAGAGTAACTTTGCCATAATGTCTGGAATGGAAGAAAACTCTCTGGTTCTTTCTTTCGAAGCGGAGGAAGACAAAGCTGGAATCACTGTACTGGAAGCAAGGCCTGGTAATGGGGACAAAGAACCAGGCTATAAATACTTGGGCTGACAGAGCAGCAGATGGTTGGGTTGGAAGTGGATTTCTGGGTGGGAAATTTGCTAAGTGGTATTGGCATATGTTTCTTCAAGTCTTTGACCTGCTTGTTTTCTCAAAAGACTCTATTAAATGCTTGGAAAGTAAGTTGAAATAGTTGTGACAACAAAGGAAAGTTGAAAAGGAGGGAAAAAGATTCACCAAGGCTTGTGCCTCTCTCTCCTCTTTGTGATACATTTGCGTGGCTAGTCATCATTTTATTCACTCGGAAAAATACCAAAGCACCACCTCAAATTTCCCAGGCCTCTTTCCCCCTGTCACCACTCTCAGTGGATTGCAAACAGAAAACGGAGAGGGCAGTTGGCTCTAGACCTGTGGAAGCAGAGTTGGTTTAACCCCATAGAAACTTCCTCTTGAAGAAAGTCAAATACTGCATGTTCTCACTTATAAGTGGGAGCTAAACAGGGGACACACATGGCCATAAAGATGGAAGCAATAGACATGGGGGACTCCAAAAGAGGAGGAGGAGGGAGGCCGGCAAGAGCTGGACAAATCGCCTACCAGGTACTATGTTCACTATTAGGGTGATCAGTTCACTAAAAGCCCGGACCCCAGCAATACACAAATACACCCATGTGACCCACCTGCACATGCATCCCCTGAATCTATAATAATAATAATAAGAAGAAGCTCCCTGTTGACTCCTGCCCTGGGACCGTGACCATCCACATGCGTAGCCATCGTGCAGCCCTGCTGGTAAGAACAGCAGCTCAACTCAGAACTGTTTAATAAAGTCATGCTGGCTGGGCACAGTGGCTCACATCTGTAATCCCAAGCACTTTGCGAGGCCAACGCAGGAGGATAGGTTGAGGTCAGGAGTTCAAGACCAGCCTGGGCAACGTAGTGAGACTCCCATCTCTACAAAAATCTTAAAAATTAGCCAGACATGGTGACATGTACCTGTAATCCTAGCTACTCAGAAGGTGGAGGTAGGAGGATAGCTTGAACCCAGGAGTTTGAAGCTTCAGTGAGTTATGATTGTGCCACTATACTCCAGCCTGGGAGACAGAACAAGACCCCGTCAATAAAAATAAAATTATATAATTATAATAAATTAAACAATTAAGTTATAAAAAGTTTTTAAATAAAAATGTATAAAGATATAAAATAGAAATATAAAACATTTAAAATATAAATTATAAAAATATAATTATACAATTTATAATTAGTTTTAAATTATAAATTCAGTGGATGCATTAAATCAGTAAATAATTTTTAAAAAGTAATGCATCTCCAAAGTGTGATTTCAGTTTTGCTAATGCTGGGCCAAGATTTCAGCTTCTGCTCAGCTCGAATCCATATTTTCTCTGGGAAGTTACCCATTAGCCTCATTTATGATCTATCCTTGCTTCACAATGTTCTAAATTCCTCCTCCAGGGCAAGACCCTTCTCTTTGCAGCGCACAGTAAGGAGCTTCTAGCGCGAGCAAGAACAAGCTCCTGCACCATCGCTCAGCACTGCTTGTAGACCTCTCACTAGATCGTAAATTATTTAATGGCAGGAGTTATGTCATCTCTCAACTTTTTTTTTTTTTTTTTTTTTTTGAGACAGAGTCTCGCTCTGTCGCCCAGGCTGGAGTGCAGTGGCGGGATCTCGGCTCACTGCAAGGTCCGCCTCCCGGGTTCATGCCATTCTCCTGCCTCAGCCTCCCAAGTAGCTGGGACTACAGGCGCCCGCCACTACGCCCGGCTAAATTTTTGTATTTTTAGTAGAGACGGGGTTTCACCGTTTTAGCCGGGATGGTCTCGATCTCCTGACCTCGTGATCCGCCCGCCTCGGCCTCCCAAAGTGCTGGGATTACAGGCGTGAGCCACCGCGCCCGGCCTTTTTTTTTTTTTTTTTGAGATGGAGTCTTGCTCTGTTGTCCAGGCTGGAGTGCAGTGTCGTGATCTCGGCTTACTGCAACCTCCGCCTCCCGGGTTCAAGCGATTCTCCCTGCCTCAGCCTCCCGAGTAGCTGGGACTACAGGCGCAGGCCGCCATGTCTGGCTATTTTTTTTTTTTTTTTTAAGTGGGGACAGGGTTTCACCGTGTTAGCCAGGATGGTCTCGATCTCCTGACCTCGTGATCCACCCGCCTCAGCCTCCCAAAGTGCTGGGATTACAGGCGTGAGCCACCGCGCCCGGCCAGTCTCTTAATTTTTTTTAATGCCCCAGAGCAGCCAGCACGGTGCCCTGCACCTCAGGAAATGTGGAAACTGCTAGTCCGTACGTGGGCAGAACACACGCTCTCATCTCTCTACTGGAAAAAAGCCTCCGGGTGGGCAATGGGCTGTGGGCGGCTACCTGTGTCTGCTGGATAGGCCCATGAATCCGGGGTGCAGAGGGGTTGGCTGTGGAGCCAGTGTCCCGCCTCTCCCTGCGGTGCAGCAGGAGAACTCTCATGAAACGCTGCAGAATGGAAATAAGAATCGGCTGGGCACGGTGGCTCACACCTGTAATCTCAGCACTTTGGGAGGCCGAGGCAGGTGGATCACTTGAGGTCAGGAGTTCAAGATCAACCTGGCCAACATGGCAAAAACCTGTCTCTACTAAAAATACGAAAATTAGCCGGGTGTAGTGCCACACACCTGTAGTCCCAGCTACTCGGGAGGCTGAGGCAGGAGAATCACTTGAACCTGGGAGGCGGAGCTTGCAGTGAGCCGAGATTGCACCACTGCACTCCAGCCTGGGTGACAGAGCGAGACTCCATCTCAAAAAAAAAAAAAAAAAAAAAAAGAATCGCCCCACTCCAGATCAGAATCCTGGCTGCCTGAGAGGTAGCTTAGGGTTGCTACAGTCCACAAGGGTCAAGTTCTGGAGGAGGAGTGGAGTGGAGTCGGTGGAATGGAGTCACATCTGCATCTCCTTCCAGCCGGGCGCTGCCCACAGTGACCATTTGCCTCACTCTAGAGGCGCAGGCCACCGTGGAGCTGTGCTGGTGGACTGGCAGTGGTGTGCAGTTTCCTCAGCTGCACCTCTGCATCCCGCAGAGCAATGTCCCAGCCTTCACAGGCAGCTGCTTCTTCCCACCATCCCAGCACCGTGGCACTGTCCCAATGCAGTGCTCCCGCGGCTCAGGGGACTTGCGTCTTCTGACCACTTCCTGGCTGACTGTCACCTTCAACTCTTGATAAAGCAGCAGTTTCTATATCCTCCATCGTCTTGCCCACCAGCCATGATTTTCTGTTAGGTCTCACCTCAATTCCTGAGGAACCGACTATATAATGTGATTGAAGATGGGTCCCATCTATCTAAAGGTGATGCTTGGACCTTGTCAACAGTAGCCAGAATGATGTCTTGAAAATACACAAATCACAGCGTTGGCTCTTGCTCCTGTCCAAACCATGTGGGAGAACACCTCTGAATCCTGCTACTCCTTACTCTGACCCCAAAGACTAAGGAAGCTTTTCTCCGTGGCTTGTGTGTATGGCGTAGAGTCAAAGACTTGGGCGGGAGATGTAGGAACTACAAGACCTGGCCATTGGAGACATTTGTTTAAGCTGCCAAATAGAAAATGCAAGTCCAAACTGTGTGCTTTTCCTGCAAAGGAAGCTCCCAGGCAGGTTTTCCAGGGCTCACTTTTTGTTAGACTACTGTTTCTAAACCTTCAGTGCATGCAAATTCTAGTTATTTTCCATTATATACACTGTCTCTAGGTCCTGACATTTCAACAATCCAAACTTCAGATCCACTTTTGTTTTGCTTTCTAAAAAAAATCCTGTAGCTTCACCAAGAACTCAGTCCTCTGGGTGCTCTCAGCTTCTAGCTCTTAGTGACTCTCCTGTATCCTCATTACTCATCCCATGAACTTCACAGAAGGCCTCCCAGCTCTTAAGGGAATCCTAAATCCTGGCTCCTGCCCCTTTGCTGTGCCCAGGACCACTCTCTCCTGTTCTGATTCTTCTGGTTGACATGGATGAAGACAGCAATTCCCCTGCAGCCTTAAAAAAAAATCCATAAAACACAAGGCAGGGGTTGATAGACGCTTGAAGGCAGGCTTAAACGAAACAGTGAAGAGTCCTGGAAATGTGGAAGAAGAAATTTGCAAGTCACCTTTCTCTTTGCTTAGTGCTAGGTTAGGAAATGCCCACTCATAAGGAAATACATGCTCAGAATTACAGGGTCTCTAAATAAAGTAAATACATTTCATTCTGGGTGAGTTCTTCTAAGTTAACAAAAAAATAAAAGCCTCAGAAAATTCAACTGAGAACCTAATCACAAAAGCTTTAATACAGTTTGTTAGTGTTCTGTCTATATTATTGATGTGTTGATGATGTTCATTTTACATTTTAAAATTATTCATTTTTTGAAAATGTCTACAAGTTTGAGCTGACACTAAGTGTTTTAAAACAGTAATTTTCAGAAGAATGGAAAAATTAGGTAATTAATGAGGAAGGAGAACTAAAATTAAGATAATTTGTTTTCACTTCTCATTGTACAAACTAGGTCTTAGAGTATCAAAATAAAGGGAAAAAATCATGTAATTCTGCTATTTAAGTAGAATAAAATAAAAAACTTGTGTTCTATTATTGACCATACCCCTGTAATTTTTCATTGTTATAATCTTACCTAAACTGGAATTTTAAATTGTTTTACCTCAACAAGATTAGAGATCAGTGCCAAATGGATTTGAGTTTGGTTTATTTCCTGGGACACTTACAAATCTCCAAATATGTGCAGAATTCTATTGTATATATCACCAGCATGAGCAACTGACTTTTCTTGAAGAGGCCAAAGGGACTGTAAAAAATACTGGTTTAAAAGACATAGGAGTTTATTTTTCCCTCATATAATCATCCCAAGGTCACTGGTTCAGATTGCTGAGGAGACTCTGCTCCAAGTGGTCATTCGGGGATCCAGTTTCATATTTTCTGCTGCTTTGCCATCCTCTAACAAAGGCGTTAGGAAACTTTTGTTATCAGGAGCCAGATAGTAATATTTTCTGGTTTTGTAGGTCATATGATCCCTCTCACAACAACTACTCAACTTTGCTGTTGTAGCACAAAAGCAGTCAGAGATAATTCACTAATCTTTACAAAAACAATCAGTGAGTTGGATTTGACCCAAAGGTCATAGGTTTCCAATTTCTGCTCGAGTGTTGCTACGTGCATGGTTCAAGCTGGACCATAAGGTGCTTCCGTATTCAAGCTCACAGGAAGGAAAATGAACACACAGCTTAGGTAGGAAGCCCTAAACCTATGACAGCTCATATCATATCACTTCCACTCACATTTTACTGGCAAGAATAGTCATACATCCATAGTGAGCTATGAGGGAGGCTAGGAAATTCAGTCACTAGCTGGGCAACATGTGCACAGCCTAACATTACTACTATTAATAAAGGGAGGATGGGTTTTTGTTGGCAATCAATTATTTCTACTACACCGGTCAAAATTACTGGAAGAGTTATCTATATTCCTTCTTACTCTTCCACAGCCTGGTACCTAGCACAGTGCCTGACGTACAGAACAAGTTGAAGTGAATACTTGAATGAACGCATGAATGAAAACCAAAGCTGAACTACATGCTAAATCATTGGCTAAGTTTTCTCACCAGCCAAGTGACTTGTTCTAATACAACGGCCTCCCAGTTCCGTTCAGACTATCCAAAATCATACCTCAGGAAAAGGAAAGTGAGTGTTTGCCATGCACTTGCTAATTCTGATCGCTTATTAATTCTGAGAACTTCAAAAGTTTTATTTTTTCTACAAATAACAAAATGATACATTTACATAAATGTCATTTGATGTTTGCAATCTTCATGTGTGCAAGATAGAAAAGTTATCATACTTATCACGTTGTCATATAGGTGGAACAATTGATGCTCTAGCTGATTCAGACAACAAGAATTATGAGTAAATTTAAAGGTAATGACCTAGATCTTTCTATTTTGCTGCTAAAGAGTCTATTTAACTTATGTGGCATAATTTCAATCATTTAAATTTTGTATAATTTAGAAGTAGCTATATCTGATTAATTTATAAGTGATTATTTTTCTTAATGTGGCTTTTAATTTTTTTTTTCTTTTTTTTCAGGTCTCAGAGTATAATGTGACTTTTTAATAACATCTCAGCAAACTTGCATTTCTTGCTAACATTTCATCTGCATGTAAAGATTATCTTGCACATAGGGCCTTATGATAATAAACCGAATGCAGAATAACCTATTTTGAACAGATGATAAAATTTTTCTAAAAAAAGGGTTTTGTGAATATAATTGTTTGAGAGAGAACCACATACTGTAATTCAAAGTTATAGTGGTGATACGTCTGCACTGGAATGAGGTCAAAGTTCACATATTCATAAGATTCCACGTACTGAAAGGCTAGTTTAAAAGCTGCTGAAAAATATGGATTTTAAAATAATTTATTTTTATACATTTTGATCTATGAACTGTGATTTCTAACACCATAGGGTAGTGAGAGATTGGATTAGGAGTAGCAGGGGGGAGGGGGCAGAGTTGGGGAAGGGAAGGGAAGAGGAAAAGAAAGGCAAATGGACTTGCCTGGCGCTCTCACAACTACTAGAGTGGAAACTGCCCTTAAGACCCTTGCAGGGATTCCAAAAGACAGAAGCTCTGAGAGTGAGCCACGGAACCCACGCCATGCAGAACATGCTTGTCAGACTAGAGGCTCCTTGATAACAAGCCACCAGAGCCCCTCCAGCTGGCCCCAGCACAAGGTGATGCGTATGTGCCAGGCACGAAGGGCGCAGTGGTCCTGCTGCGTTTGCCTACAGGGGCAGTGGCATTTGCCATCAAGATGGCCTTTGGTCTGTGTTTTTTAGGCCACTTCTTCCTTTTTATCGTTCTTAGTCTGATTCTTACCTATGGTGAATCAAGGTACTTAAATTTATTGGGAAAATGATTTCAGTATAACAAGTAAAAATTTCAGGAAGTTACCAATACAGGCCTCCTCCTCTTCCTCATTTGCCTCCTCGTCTTCCTCCTCTTCCTCCCTTTTCCTCCTCCTCCTCCACCTTTTCCACCTCCTCCTCCTCCACCTCTTCCTCTTCCTCCTCCTCCACCTTTCTCTTCCTCCACCTCTTCCTCTTCCTCTTCTTCTTCCACCTCCACCTCCTCCTTCTCATCCTGCTCCTCTTCTTCCTCCTTCCTCTCCTTTTTTGTCTCCTTCTTTTCCTCTTTGTTCTCCTCCTCTTTCCCCTCCTCCTCTTCCTCCTGCTCTTCCCCCTCCTTCTCCCTCTCGTCTTCTTCCTTCTCCACTTCTTTCTTCTTCATCTCCTCCTCTTTCTTTTAAACTCTTTGCCCTGAGAACATGTTACTCAGAGGCAGTGGGTTCAGTCTCCCTGGATGGACAGGGCACTTGATCCTTGTTTCTGATCCTTGCTAGGGGGAGGGGAAAGGCTCTGGTCCTCAGCTGGTGGTTGCTCTCTTCCCCTCCTTCCCCTTCTTCTCTCCGGACATCTTTTCTCCCCCTTTCCTTTTTTTCTTCTTGTCTGTACCAGATGTCCATGACAAATCACGCCCAGGCTGTGTTTATTTTCACAAATAGGCATCACTCATCTGACCATCCCAAATAGGTTCATTTTTCTTTGCATTATCCTTACAATGATAACCAGTTTAAATCCCCAGGAAGAAAGGACGTCTGAGGGGTTATCCTTCCCTTAGTGACGGAGAGCTTACAAGGCATCTGCTTCTCTAGGAGCCTCATCATCAAACTTCCTCTGTGATCATCATACAGTTTCATAGAACAGATCCTGCAGGAGGAAGGTTTAGCTCAGCAACATCCCTTTCAACTCACAAAGACGGGCTACAGAGAAGGAGAGGCTGTGCCTAGCAGGGGAAATTGTGCGTCCTAAGGCCGGGGGTCCACGGCTGAGCCTGGAATCAGGACATGGACCATGAAAGGTTTGCAGGCCATGGGAAAGGGAGTGGTTCCTGTCCTAAGGGCAACATAAAGCCACTGGAGTATTTTAAGCAAGGAAACAGCATGACTACCTCTGTATTTCATAAAGGTCCTGCTGGCCAATGTGATCATGGAGAGATGGGAGGAAAGCTGGGGTGTTGGGGGGAGACCAGGAGTCTTGCTTGCATGGAGCTAAGAGCAGTGGACCTGGGGACAAGAGAATGGATTAAAACATGGTCCAGAGATAGGACAGGCAGGCTTTTGGTCAATTGGATGAGGGTGCTGAAGTAGACACAGCAACCATGAATGACTTCCAGGTCTCTGGCTTAGGCAGATTAACTGGTGGTGCCATTTGCTGAGATATGGAACATGAAAAGAAGGACAGATTTGGGGAAGAGAAGGGATGAGTAGATATTGCACTTGTGCAGTTGAGGGGTCTGTGGGACATCCCACCAGAAGTAACTGGTCGGCAGCTGGAGCGAGAGTGTGGGGTTCATGAGAGAGCTGGGATGGTCCCTAAAGCTCTGGTATTGATGAGTTCTGAGTGTGTGTGGGATGAAAAGAGTTACTTATTAATAGATAGGCCCTGGAGGAGGTCAATATTTAACAGATGGACAGAGAGGCAGGAAGGCCTACATGGGTTACCAAACATGAGCATCTGGGGGGCTTAGGGGGCTAAAATCCCACGCAGGGGTATTATCTCTGAAACCAAGGGAAAATCATGTTTTGACAAGAAAAGTAAGTTGAACAAATTTGACTGAGAGGAAAGGTAAGACAAGGACTGAAAGTGATGAAGTGGTTGTTTATAACCTGGACAAGAGGCTCATGCCTGTAATCCCAGCACTTTGGGAGGTGGAGGCAGGCAGATCACCTGAGGTCAGGAATTCAAGACCAGCTTGGCCAATGTGGTGAAACCCAACTCTACTAAAAATACAAAAATTAGCTGGGAATGGTACCACGCACCTGTAATCCCAGCTACTCAGAAGGCTGAGGCAGGAGAATCGCTTGAATTTAGGATGCAGAGGTTGCAGTGAGCTGAGACTGCTCCACTGCACTCCAGCCTGGGCAACAGAGTGAGACTCCATCTCAAAACAAACAAACAAACAAAATAATAATAACCTGGGCAAGAGAAGTTTCATTGAGGTGGAGGGGCAGATGTTGGGGGATTTGGGATGGGGGCCAGATTGTGGCAGACTAAGAAGGATGTAGCAGGAGCAGCCCATGCAAATTGTGACTTCAAAGTGGAGCAGAGACTCCAGAAAGTAGATAGAAGATGAAGTTGGGTTGAGGGAGATTTAAAAAAAAAAAAAAATAGAGGCTGGGCACGGTGGCTCATGCCTGTAATCCCAGCACTTTGAGAGGCTAAGGCAGGAAGATCCTTTGAGCACAGGAGTTCGAGACCAGCCTGGGCAACATGGTAAAACCCCGTCTCTAAAAAAATACAAAAATTAGCTCGGTGTGGTGGTGCATGCGTGTGGTCCCAGCTACTCGGGAGGCTGAGGCAGGAGGATTGCTTGAGCCAAGGAGTTTGAGGCTGCAGTGAGTCAAGATGGCGCCACTGCACTCCAGCCTGGGCTACAGAATGAGACCCTGCCAAAAAAAAAAAAAAAAAAAAAAAGAACATTTTAACTTGAACATTTTAAAAGATAATGGAAAGATGCTGGGAGATGAAAGATGTGAAGTTCAGAAGAGAGGCCCTTCTCGATGAGGCAGAAGGTGCAGGTGGACGGCTTCCTCAGAGGGGGTGGGACACCTTGTCTGTCGTCACAGAAAGGAAGAAGGAAATAGGAGGGATGCAGCTGCAAGCCTGGGTGTTGTTCCGTGGCAGGAAGTCGAGGGGGCTCGGGGCCTTTATTTACTCTGGAAAATAGAAATCAAGACAGTCACCCAAGAGCAGGGAGGCTGTGGCCTGGCTGGAGCCCTGTGGCGGGAAGGAGAGGCCCAGGATGTGGCTGGAGGCCTGTGGAGGGAAGGAGAGGCCCAGGATGTGGCTGGAGGCCTGTGGAGGGAAGGAGAGGCCCAGGATGTGGCTGGAGGCCTGTGGGGGGAAGGAGAGGCCCAGGATGTGGCTGGAGGCCTGTGGTGGGAAGGAGAGGCCCAGGATGTAGCTGGAGGCCTGTGGAGGGAGAGAGGGGCCCGGGGCATGGCTGGGGGCCTGTGGAGGGAAAGAAGGGGCCCAGGGTGTGGCTGGAGCCCTGTGGAGGGGAAGAGGGGGCCGAGGCCTGGCTGGAGGCCTGTGGAGGGAGAGAGAGGCCCGGGGCATGGCTGGAGCCCTGTGGAGGGAGAGAGAGGCTTGGGGCATGGCTGGAGGCCTGTGGAGGGAGAGCAAGCTGAGCGTGGATGCAGGCACTGAGGAGGAAGCCTCCACCAGACTGCACAGCCAGGCTCTTCTGCAGCGCCCTTAGCCCTCCAGGCAGGAGCAGGTAGAAAGAAGGCTCCATCACGGGGTCCTGTGTGACAGGGAAACAAAGGGCCAGGGAGAGGTGCAGAGGGTAGTGGAAGTGGCTGATGATGGAAGCTATGCTGGAAGTGGAAGGAAACCAGGATAGGAAGGAACTCAGAAATAAGAAGAAAGCAAAGGTCTCAGAAGATGGCAGGTCCCACTGAAGCTGAAGAACCAACTGTGGAGGCTGGCGAGAGTGCAGCCAATAAGATCTGAGGGAAGAGACAAAGATCAGAAAAATGCATGTGAGAGTGGAGGGAGGGAGTAAAGGAAAGTGAGTGCCCAGAGGTGCAGACTGTCACGTCATGTGAGTTACTGGCCTTCATTTTGGATTTGCACTTCTCCATGGTCAAGGGGTTTATGTGGTTGAAATGTCTAGCCAACCACGACAAAATGCACAAGTTACTGCAGAAGAGAGGCTTATTTTTCTGGTCCTGGAGTTAAAGACTTTCTGCCGTGGCCTCCCAGTGAGAGACTCCAGGCCCCGTGGTGGACAGGGTCCCATCCACACTGCAACATTGAAGTCATAGCCAGGTGGTTTTTAAACAAATCTTTATTAAAGCTCCTCTATGTAGTTTAATCCATAGAAAAAATTCCTTTGAATTGATTTTCATTCGCCTTTTACAGATGGGCAAACAGGCTCAGAGAGGTTAAAAACTTGGCAGGCTGGTGAATGGCAGCTTGAGAATTAAACACAGACCTTGTGCCCACAGGTTTACAGCTCTGTCCGTTGCTGCTCCCTCAAGGCCTTCAATCAATGATTCGTTCAGCCTCTATATTTTTATGATTATTACTTAAAAATAGACCTTATTTTTAGAGCAGCTTTATGTTCACAGCAAAATTGAGAAGAGGGTACAGAGATTTTCCCTATACCTCCTCCCTCCACATATGCACAGCCTCCTCCAACTATCAACGTCCCTACCAGGGTGGCACATTTTTTACAATTAATGAACCTACATTGGCACATCACCATCACCCAAAGGCCAGTTTGCACTATGATTCACTCTTGGTGTTGTAAATCCTATGGGTTTGGACAAATGTCTAAGGACATGTATCCCCCATTATGGTATCACACACAGTGGTTTCACTGCCCTGAAAATCCTCTCCCTATTCATCCCTCCTCCTCACCAACTGATATGGTTTGGCTGTGTTCCCACCCAAATCTCACCCTGAGTTGCAATAATCCCCACGCATCAAGGGCAGGCCTGGTAGAGATAACTGAATCATGGGGGCAGTTTCCCCAACAGTCTTCTCATGGTAGTGAACAAGTCTTATGAGATCTGATTGTTTTATAAATGGGAGTTCCCCTGCACAAGCTCTCTCTTGCCTGCCACCATGTAAGATGTGACTTTGCTCCTCCTTTGCCTTATGCCATGATGGTGAGGCCTACCCAGCAATGTGGAACCATGAGTCCGTTAAACCTCTGTCCTTTATAAATTACACAGTCTCAGGTATGTCTTTATTAGCAGCATGAGAACAGACTAACACACCAGCTCCTGGCAACCCCTGATCTTTTTACTGTCTCCATAGTTTTGCCTTTTCCAGAATGTCGTATAGTTGGATTCATATGGCATATAGCTTTTTCAGATGAGCTTCTTTCACTTAGTAATATGTATTTAAGTTTCCTTCATGTCTTTTCATGGCTTGATAGTTCATTCCTTTTTTAGCACTGAATCATATTCCACTGTCTGGATGTTCCATAGTTTATTTATCCATGCACTTACAGAAGGACATCTTGATTGCTTCCAAGTTTGGCAATTATGAATAAAGCTGCCATAAACATTGGTGTGCATGGTTTTGTATGGACATAGATTTTCAACTCCTTGGGGTAAATAGTGTAAGAGTTGAAGAAAGAAGAAACACAGAAAGTGGCTCAATAGTCAAAGACAGATTTATTTTGGAGAATAAACCTGAGAAGGGCTTCTGGCCAATTTCAGTTAGGAGTGCTCTCTCTTACAGACTAAGGGTATTTAAGGGCTTTAGGGAGGGGGAGCTTATCACAGGCTCAGAATGTTTCTGTATGAAGGAGAGTTTTATTGTAGGTTTGGAATGTCTCTGGTTGGAGTTGGGGTTATCTCAGGGTTGGCATGTTTCTGGTCGGAGCAGGTTTTCTAAGGGTTGAAATGTTTCTGTTCATGCTGACATTAGCCATCAGGCTGATGTTTTGGGGCTGGATTTAGGGGAACTTAAAATGGCAGTGTTTGTCCAAGATGGCGATGCTCCTGATGTGTCAAATAGGAAGGGGCACAATTGCTGGATCCCATGGTAACTGTATATTTAGCTTGGTGAGAAACTGCCAAACTGTCTCCAAAGTGGCTGCACCATTTTGCATTCCCAGCAGCAGTGAATGAGAGTTCCTGTTGCTCCACCTCCTCACCAGCAATTTATGTTGTCAGTGCTCTGGATTTTGGCCATTCTAACAGGTATAATATAATAGTGTGTAGTGGGAACTCACTGTTGTTTAATATGTATTTCCATGATGATATATGAGGAGGAGCATCTTTTCATATGTTTCTTTGCCATCTGTGTGCTTTCTTTGGTGAGGTGTCTGTTCAGATATTTTGTCCATTTTTAACCAGGTTTTTTATTCTCTTATAGTTGAATTATAAGAATTCTTTGTATATTTTGGATAATGATTCTTTATTAGATGTGACTTTTGCTATGTTTTCTCCCAGTCTGTGGCTTGTCTTCTCATTCTTTTGACAGTGTCTTTCTCAAAGTACAAGTTTTAGTTCTAATGAAATTCAGCTTCTCAGTTACTTCTTTCATAGATCATGCCTTTGGTGTTATATCTAAAATGTCATCACCAAACCCAAGGTCATCTAGATTTTCTCCTATTTTTTATGGTTTTGCTTTTACATTTAGGGTCTATGATCCATTTTGAATTACTTTCACACAGGATGTATGGTCTGTGTCTATATTCTTTTTCTAAAAAACATGTGGATGTCCAGTTTTTCCTGTAACATTTACTGAAAAGACTAGTGCAGTGTTCTGATTTTTTAAATACCTTTTTCCAGAAGACTTCCTTCACTTTAGTCAAGAAAGGACATAACACCAACACACAGTTCCGGAAAAGCTGTTTTCTGCAGATAAGGCTAAACGGCATGATCTAATTATGTCTGATGTTCTGGGTCTGTCCTGGGATAAAATCTAGAGTATTGGTTCCCCAGACTGTACCACTGATTAAAATCATCTGGCACACGTCACTCCTGGCTCTGCTTCTGTGTTCTGCCTCTTCGCCGTGTTTCCAAGATCTACTCCTATTCCAAGGTCTTGAACACCATCTACTCACTCCTCAGTGACTTCAGCTGCACATAGACGCCTAGGACAGTGCTTGCCTTTATCACTCACATAGTATAGAATGTTTCATGATACTTGAAGCACAAACTCCTCTCTCTCCTACTGGAAAAGATAACTATCTCTCCCACTCAACTATGTTTCTTGGTGGCAGGGACAATATCATTAATTCTTTGTATTCAATACAATTCTTAGTACAGAACACACACCTTAATACAGCAGTCCCCAACCTTTTTGGCACCAGGGACTGGTTTTGTGGAAGACAATTTTTCCACAGACAGTGGAGGGGAGATGGTTTCGGGATGATTCAAGTGCTTTACATTTATTGTGCACTTTATTTCTACTGTTATTACCTTGTAATATATATAATGAAATAATCATACAACTCATCATCATGTAGAATCAGTGGGAGCCCTGAGCTTGTTTTCCTGCAACTAGACAGTCCCATCTGGGGGTGATGGGAGACAGCAACAGATCAACAGGCATTAGATTCTCATAAGGAGTGCACAACCTAGACCACTCACATGTGCAGTTCACAAATAGGGTTTGCTCTTGTGTGGGAATCTAATGCTCCTGCTGATTAGGCAGGAGGTGCAGGTGGACAGCTTCCTCAGAGGGATAAGGGCAACTTGTCCGTTGTCACAGAAAGGAAGAAAGAAATAGGAGGGACGCAGCTGCAAGCCCGTGTGTTGTTCCATGGCAGGAAGTCGAAGAGGGTCTCAGGGACAGGAGGTGGAGCTCAGGCGGTAACATGAGCCATGGGGAGTGGCTGTAAATACAGATGAAGCTCACTCCCCACTCACCTCCTGCTGGGTGGCTCAGTTCCTAACAGGCCACCTGTCCGCTAGTGGTTCATGGTTCAGGAGTTGGGGACCCCTGCCTTAATACATGCTTGTTAGTTAATTGATTGATTGGGAAAGTTCTCGTGAAAAAGAATGAGTGAGAAGCTGCTGACCTGTGAAAACCTTTGTACTAACATGATCTTTTAAATACCACAAAGGAAACTGTGACTTTATCAAAGCAATTAAATCCAAATTCTTTTTCTTGGTAAATGTGTTACTTTGCAAATGTCAAATGTGCAACCAGGAGGTTGTCAAACAAAAATGTGTTTGCTGCAATGTATATTTAGTGTGTATATATACACATGTATGCATATTTATGTGCTTGTATATGTATATACATGTTTGTATATGTATATACATATATTTATATATGTATATACATGTTTGTATATGTATATACATATATTTGTATATACATGTTTGTATATGTATATACATATATTTATATATGTATATATATTTATATATGTATGCATGTGTGTAGACTAGAAAAATATTAATCCTTGCAATTTTTCATTTATAAATCATTACCCTAGTAATTACCCTAGTAATGATTTATAAATTAGTCCAATTTTCAAAGTTAAATATGTGAACTTAATGGGTACCATTCATTTACTCACAAATATTGAATGAGGTTAGTACAAGGCTGGCATGGACCCTCTTCTCAAGACCCATTTAAAGGATGTTGCTATCATAGAAATGTATTTGGAAGTCATTAATACAAAATCAAAAGAAAGCCTTTGAAGTGTATTTTTTGTCTATTCAGAAAACCTGTCTGACAATTTTTTAAAATGCACACGTCCCATCCTCACGAGGTTATTTTCCCTTCTGGCCTAGCCCAGCACTGTTTGTTTAGTGTTACGCATATCCCTGGACTATTTAACACAGCTCCTGCTCAGTATAATGTCTTGTTTCCTGTGTGCAGATAAATGCACCACTTTTTAACAACATGTTGTAGCATTAGAGATTGCCAGCTTCAACAATGTAAGTTTTTTTTTTTCCCCATGTAGCCAGGAACTGGATCAATAAAGTAAAAGTATAATGACTTTCCCTGCTTTATTTTAGTAGGTTATGTGATACTATTTGCTTTTTCAGTGTTAGTCAATATTGGTGTCTCCAGGGAGGAGGAGCTGATATCTCTTCCCTAAATCCATTTCTCCACAATCTTAAATTAAAAGGATAAGACAAAGCCAAGACAAAGGACATGGACTGGTGCTGCGGATTTTTTAAGTGGTTCTCAAACAAATGATAGGTCTGCCTAATTTCCAGCATGGTAATGTCCTTTGCGATGACTGGGAGCTGTGGGGAGCTTACCTCCTATCTGGTGCTCCTGGCTGTGTGGCTGATCAGGGCTGGGCTTTGAAGAGGAGTAACGCAGGGTCTATCTTGTAGAGGGCAACGTGGCCACAGGGCTCCACTGAGACCCTGCAACTCCTCCTTGCTGACAGCTCAGGAACAGATTTGAAAGCTCAGGCACAATAAATTCCAGTGCATTCTCAGGCAGGAGAAAAAAAGGAAATTCTGCTCACATCCTGGTTTTCTCTTTAATAAACCCTGTAACAAGTTTATTACATTGTGGGGACGACAAACGTTTCCTTTCCCCCGTTTAGAAAACTTCTGCTCTTTCCCTCTTTTCCTCTCTCCTGGTTTCTACAATGCTGATGTCAGAGGGTGAAGACCCTCAAAGGAAAATTTGGAGTTGCCTGGTAATGATTGAGAAAATGAGATTCCACGTGAAAGAATTACCCTCTCATCCTGTTTCTTTGGGCTTCTAGGCTTAAGTGTGGGTGGGCTCTTCAGCCTCCAGGTGGGACTGCGTTCACCTTCACCACAACAACAGCCTTCAAGAATGCTTGTCAAGTGACTTCTCATCAACAATTACAAATCAAAGGGTTTTCCAGCAGGCATTAGCTGTATTTTTGTATGAATAAACCTCATGCTGTGACCATGGTCCTTGTCTGCGCTCTCATTTTGTGTATGGGGAGACTGAGGCACAAGCAAATATACTTTTTGATGAACTTAGTCTCTAGAATTCACTGCTGCTGGCTCCTGCCCCAGACTGGATCTGGCATCTCTGTGAAAGCAATATAGAAAGTGGGGCCACCTGGCCGGGCACAGTGGCTCACACCTGTAATCCCAGCACTTTGGGAGGCAGAGGTGGGAGGATCACTTGAAGTCAAGAGTTCAAGACCAGCCTGGCCAATATGGTGAAACTCTGTTTCTACTAAAAACACAAAAATTAGCTGGGCATGGTGGCACGTGCCCATAATCTCAGCTACTCGGGAGGCTGAGGCAAGAGAATCATTTGAACCTGGGAGGTGGAGGCTGCAGTGAGCCAAGATTATGCCTCTGCACTCCAGCCTGGGTGACAGAATCAGAGTCCATCAAAAAAAAGAAAGAAAGAAAAGAAAGAAAGGAAAGAAAGAAAAAAGAAAGAAAGAAAGAAAAGAAAGAAAAAGAAAGAAAGAAAGAAGAAAAGAAAGAAGGGCCACCCTAGATTTCAGTTCCAGCCCTGACATTAAGTGGATGCATAACCTTGAGCATTCCTTCCACTTCACTTGCCTCTTCTGTACAAAAAGAAGAGGTTGAATTCGATGGGTCGGGCTTCGGAGTGTTAACATTGTCTGATTTCTAGTTTCCTTTCCCTCAGGACAAATGGCATAAATTTAAACACACAGTTGGCAATGGATATGGAAATAAGATACATTTTCCAAAATGCTATAATTTGTAATGGGAAAATATGAGGGCTGAGTAGATGTATAAGGAAAACTGTAGGAGTCACCAATAAAATCCAGCTCTTGAAAGCGTTCCCCACCAGCTCATCGTCTTTCACGGCATTCCCATTTGGGAAATATCACTCTCTCTTTCTTGCTCCCTAGAAGTGAAATGAGGGCGGAAGAGGACTGTTTGCTGAAAGCTCATTTTTAGCTCCAGGGTTTCCAGTCTTTCAAGCTGCTGTTTCCAAAACATTAAACACAAAGCAGTAAATGTGGAGCAGCTTTCTTTACCATGTTGATGAGACAGAAACGCTACTCATTTGTTCTGCTTCAGAAATCAAAGTATTGTATCCACCCAGAGATGGAAATTCTGCACCGAGGTCCTAAAATAAATTAACTAAATACAATTAATTTTACTTTAAATAAAATCTTATCTCTCCTTATTTGTGCTCAACTCCTGATGAATTTTAAATGACAGAATGAAATGTGGATTTATTTACTACCTTCTTTCTGGATATTTCTAGGTTAACATTTCTTTTTTCTTTTCTTTCTTTTCTTTTCTTTTTTCTTTTTTTTTTTTTTTTTTGAGACAGAGTCTTGCTCTGTCACCCAGGCTGGAGTGCAGTGACCCAATCTGGGCTCACTGCAACCTCCACCTCCTGGGTTCAAGAGATTTCTGCTGCCTCAGCCTCCCGAGTAGCAAGTAGCTGGGACTACAGGCATATGCCACCACCATGCCCAACTATTGTGTGTGTGTGTGTGTGTGTGTGTGTGTGTGTGTGTGTGTGTATTTGGTAAAGATGGGGTTTCTCCATGTTGGACAAGCTGGTCTCGAACTTCTGGCCTCAAGTGATCCACCCACCTCAGCCTCCCAGAGTGCTGAGATTACAGGTGTGAGCCACCACACCCGGCCTCTAGGTTAACATTTCTTAACCTGAGGTTTATGGACTTTACCTAGAGAGCTTATTATTTTTTCTGAATGGTATAACATAGTTTTTTAATCCTTTGAGGAGAGTTAAAAAGACTTCTTGTATATGTCTATAACCTGGGCAGAAATTTCAATTTTCTTGTCTTTTTTTTTTTTTTCAAATGGTGTCTCACTCTGTCTCCCAGGCTGGAGTGCAGTGTCACAATCTCAGCTCACTGCAACCTCTGTCCCCCGGGTTTAAACAATTTCTCTGCCTCAGCCTCCCGAGTAGGTGGGATTACAGGCGTCCTCCACCACACCCGGCTAATTTTTGTACTTTTAGTTGAGTCAGGGTTTCACCATGTTGGCCAGGCTGGTCTCAAACTCTTGACCTCAAGTGATCCGCCCACCTTGGCCTCCCAAAGTGCTGGGATTACAGGCGTGAGCCACTACATCTGGCAGAAATTTCAATTTTTTTAAGTAAATTTTAAGAAATCCTATTCTTCAAGGAGATCGTGACTTGAAAAGCCCAGGAATCACTATCACTATTCTAGGTATTAATTTATGGGATGTGACTTGTTGAGAATATAGGATTTCTTTTTTTCTCCCATCTTAGCTAAATTACTTGAATTGGACTAAGGTCTTCATTTGAACTCCTACATGCCTAGGCTTCAAAAACATCCACATTTCTGAAATGTCAGCTTTGTAAAGTTTTGATTGGAGCTTTTGCCAGTCTCAGGAAATTCTTTGTGCTTTTGTACTAATAATCTCTTGTGACCTATTTGGTAAAATGTTAACATGCTACATTTATTGGTCTTTTTTTTTAAAAAAAAAATCCCTTTGTAAAATGAAGTTGTACAAGACTGTGAACATCCTGGGGCCTTGAACCTCTCCTTTTTGGATTAAATGTCTTTTGAGAACATAGTTCTATGTTTCTTCTTTTTTTCTTTACCAAGCAAACAAACAAAAATATTATAAACCCTCTTTTCTGCTATACAACTGAGCCACCAAATCATGCCACTCTTGTGCAATATTTAAAACCTTGTTTTTCTCCCTCCCTCTCCCTTTCTGTTCACCACTTCTGTTTTGTTTTTTGTTTTTTTGTTTTGTTTTGTTTGAGACAGAGTTTCCCTCTTGTCACCCAAGCTGGAGTGCAATGGTGCAATCTTGGCTCACTGCAACATCTGCCTCCCAGGTTCAAGCGATTCTCCTGCCTCAGCCTCCCGAGTAGCTGGCACGCACCACCACGCCCAGCTAATTTTTGTATTTTTAGTAGAGACGGGGTTTCACCATGTTGGCCAGGCTGGTCTTGAACTCCTGACCTCAAGTGATCCGCCCACCTCGGCCTCCCAAAGTGCTGAGATTATAGGCCTGAGCCACAATACCTGGCCCTGTTCACCAGTTTTGAATTTTTACTGAGGTTAAGTGTACGAAATGTTGCCTCTAGGAAGAACATTGACAGAAATTGAGTAAATATAGAGTTTTAATGAAATAATCCGATCTGTACAGAACACAATTTATAATCCATCCCAAGAAGTTTCGTCTTCTACTAGCCACAAAATTAGTCGTACTTCATGTAACTGCATTGGTCATTTCAGGCAACACCCTCTAAACGGACACCGTGTGTGTACTGGGATCTACCATAAGGATCTAGATGAAATAAATCAGGTCTTTTTGTATAAGTTATATTGATGGAAACTTCAATTCCATTTAATTTATGTATTCGTGGGGAAGCTCCTGAATGATCAACACTGCAGAAAGTACCGAAGAGCCAATGTGGGAAATTGGACCCCGTGGACTGTCAGTCTCATCGGGTAGATGAGATGCATACCTGTGAAACACCAAGGAAATACTACGTGGAAGATACACTTCAGTTTTAAAACACACCCCATGTAATTCAAGAGGAAGTCAGAAGATGACAGAATTGGAGACACTGACATCGTTGAAGACAGAATTCTAAAAATACATCTGGATGAGGTCCAAGGGGGCAGAGAAAGCCCTGGAAGCCGGGACAACAGCATAGCAAAGGCTCTCCTGGGATCGCACAATGCTGCACCGGAAGGGAAGGCATGAAAGCACCTGGGAGAGAGGGAGAAAGCACAGGGGGGTGTGAGTAGATAGACCTGGGCTGAGCCTCAGCCTTGATGGCACTACAGCTGTGAGAGAAAGAGGGTGACACAGGTGGACCTCCAGAACGAGTGAGGAGCCCCCTGAACTGCAGTTGCCTCCAGAGTCAAGCAGTGCCCATGGCACGAATGATTGGCAGAAGACGTGGACAGGTACCGTGGAAGAGGGAAGTAGAAAAGAGGAAAGGATCAGGAGATGAGAAAGGGAAAAAGAAGAGAAAGAGAGAGGGAGGGAGGAAGGGAGGGAAAAGCAGTGGCCTGCGTGGTAGCTCATGCCTGTAATCCCAACACTGTGGAAGCCTGAGGAGGGAGGATCACCTGAGCCCAAGAAGTTTGAGGCTGCAGTGAGTCATAATTGCATTAATGCACTCCAGCCTGGGCAACAGAGCAAGACCCCATCTCTAAAAAAAAAGAATTAATTAAATCATAAAAATTATATGCAACAAAACTGAATAACCTCCTTTGCCTAACTACTTACCTGTGACAAGGGCTTCACAGAAACAACCCAACTTGGTGGCATTTCTTTTCCTTTTCTCTTTTTTCTTTTTCTTTTTTTTTTTTTTTTTTGAGACAGAATCTCACTCAGTTGCCCAGGCTGGCATGCAGTGGTGCAATCTTGGCTCACTGCAACTTCTGACTCCCAGGTTCAAGTGATTCTCATGCCTCAGCCTCCTGAGTAGCTGGGATTACAGGCGCGCGCCACCATACCTGGCTAATTTTTATATTTTTAGTAGAGACGGGGTTTCAGCATGTTGCCCAGGCTGGTCATGAACTCCTGACTTCAAGTGATCCACCCGCCTTGGCCTCCCAAAGTGCTGGGATTACAGGTGTGAGTCACCTCGCCTGGCTGGAGACTTTAACTTTTTAACATTTTTCTTTTCATAAAAAATGATTCAGTAAGTAGTTTCCCAGGTAATAAATACAGTCATACATTGCTTAATGATGGGGAAACATTCTGAGAAATGCATCGTCAGGCGATTTTGTTGCTGCAAGAATGCTGTAGAATGAACTCACACAAACCTAGATGGTACAGCCTCCTACACACCTAGGCTAGAGGGCATAGCCTATTGCTCCCAGACTACAAATCTATACAGCATGTGGCCGTACTGAATACTGCAGGCATTGTAACACAATGGTAAGTATTTGTGTAGCTAAGCATAGAACAGGTACAGTAAAAATATGGTGTTATAATCCTACGGGACTGCCATCGTTTATGCTGCCCATCACTAGCTAAGACATCACTATGCAGTGCCTGCCTGTACAGCCTCACAGAGATCCTTCGATTCTCTTAACCGGCCTCCTGCTGGGACCGAGGGCTCCCTGACATAGATGAACATCTTCACTTACCTATAATTATTCAGAAGATTACCAATAAACACATGAGTTAAAAGAAATTGAAGGCCGGGCGCGGTGGCTCACGCCTGTAATCCCAGCACTTTGGGAGGCCGAGGCGGGCGGATCACAAGGTCAGGAGATCGAGACCATCCTGGCTAACACGGTGAAACCCTGTCTGTACTAAAAATACAAAAAAATTAGCTGGGCGTGGTGGCGGGCGCCTGTAGTCCCAGCTACTCAGGAGGCTGAGGCAGGAGAATGGCGTGAACCCGGGAGGCGGAGCTTGCAGCAAGCGGAGATCGCGCCACTGCACTCCAGCCTGGGTGACAGAGGGACACTCCGTGTCAAAAAAAAAATGAAAGAAAGAAATTGATGTTTGGCCGGGCTCAGTGGCTCAGGCCTGTAATCCCAGCACTTTGGGAGCCCGAGGCAGGCAGATCATGAGGTCAAGAGATCGAGACCATCCTGGCCAAAATGGTGAAACACCGTCTCTACCAAAAATGCAAAAATTAGCTGGGTGTGGTGGCACGCCCGAGTAGTCCCAGCTACTCAGGAGGCTGAGGCAGGAGAATCACTGGAACCCGGGAGGCGGAGGTTGCAGTGAGCTGGTATCACACCACTGCACTCCAGCCTGGTGACAGAGTGACACTCATCTCCCCAAAAAAAAAAAAAAAAAGAAAAAGAAAAAGAAAGAAATTGAAGTGCCCATCAATATAGTTTGTGTGGGATGACCTTGATTTTTCTCATGTGACTTCCCTCCTTTGATCCCAGTCCACGCTGAAAGTCCAGTTAGAAGGGTGTGATCCCAAATGGCTTGGGTCGTGGGAGGCCCCACCCTGCCGAAAGGTCCCCTGCAGCCTCTCAGAGTCTGATTCCCGGGACCAAGCCAAGCAGCTCAACACATGTCCTATTAAGCAGTTAATTATTTCTCTTTGATACTGGCTTTTTTATCTTTTAATACAACAGTTTTACTGTCTCTGATAATTACCCTGTCTCAGATAACTCTTTTAAATCTAATGAGGCGTGGCAAGCCCTGCTTAACCAGGCGACACATCATTAACTTCTGCCTCCTTATTTGTCATCGTACCACACTCAATGACTGTATCAACAGCCAGATGTGAAACCCATAGCTTGCCACTGGCAACGCTGTGGGAGGTGACCTGCTGTCAGGTCAGTTAGCCCTGGGTCTTCCAGGGGCCACTCACAGCCCTGTGAAATCTCCTGCCCATGGGCCGGGTGGAGGCCCCTCCAATGTCACTCAGCTCCCCACTCACCTACCAACAAGACCTGTGGGCCCGGACCTCTGTTTTCTCCACCCTACACCCAGGAGGCTATGATATTTTGTCTCCAAAGTCCCTGATGGAGAAGCAGTGAGAAGGGGTGCCAGGAGCACTGAGTTACTCAACAGACTTTGAGCCAGTCTAGCTAAGCTGTTCACCACCTGTGTGGCTTTGGGAAAACCACTTCACCCCTCTGAACCTTCTTCCTTCCTTCCTTCCTTCCTTCCTTCCTTCCTTCCTTCCTTCCTTCCTTCCTTCCTTCCTTTCTCTCTCTCTCTCGCTTCCTTCCTTCTTTCCTGCCTTCCTTCTTCTTTCTTCCTTCTTTTCTCTTTCTCTCTCTTCCTTCCTTCCTTTCTTTCCTTCCTTCTTTTCCCTTCCTTCCTTCCTCCCTCCCTCCCTCCCTTCCTTCTTTCTTTGTTTCTTTTTTTGACAGGGTCTTGTTCTGTCGCCCAGGCTGAAGTGCAATGGCATGATCTCAGCTCACTGCAGCCTCCACCTCCCAGGCTCAAGCAATTCTCCTGCCTCAGCCTCCTGAGTAGCTGGGACTACAGGTGCACACCACCATACCTGGCTAATTTTTGTATTTTTAGTAGAGACAGGGTTTCACCATGTTGGCCAAGCTGGTCTCAAACTCCTGGCCTCAAGCAATGCACCCACTTTGGCCTCCCAAAGTGCTGGGATTACAGGTGTGAGCCACCGCACCCAGCCCTGAGCTTATTTATTTATCCAAAACAATGACAACAACATATTCCTCCCTCAAGAGGCTGCTTAAGAGAATCATAACACCTTTCTGGAGTTGTACAGTCACACACCACATAACAACATCTCAGCGATGGACCGCATATATGATGGTGGTCCCATAATATTATAATACTGGGTTTTTACTATCCTTTTTCTATGCTTAGATATGTTTAGATATGCAAACAGTCGCCACAGTGCCCCAATTGCCTGCAGGATTCCACACAGTCACATGCCATGAAGGTTAAACGAGATAATTGCTATCTATGATACCAAGCCACGTTACTCTGGAAGAAAACATAGAATAATTTCTTTTAGTCCACTTTGGGGATGAGTTAAGGTATAAATAAGCATAGAGTGAAGGCACTATGGAGAGTCTGTTTCTTTAGGTCTCCTCTCTCGCTCATATTTTATTTAACCCCGTGTAACCCTGTAAGTGCTTACACTGTCACTCGCAAGTCATTTTGTGAGTCTCGGGGTTTATTTTTTAGCATCTACCCAATGTTCTAGGCAGGTTGCTCAATGGCCTGTGAGTTAGGGATGATCTCTGCCCGTTGGGAGCTTATACTCTGATGCGGGAGAGAGCCACAACGGAGCACTCACGGAAGGTTGACAATACCACGACTTTACGCAAAGCCGTTCACCACCTGTGTGGCTTTAGGAAAACCACTTCACTCCCCTGAACCTGTTTCTTTATCCAGAACAATTTGCTTTGGATTGCTTTTCACGTCTGTATTCCCACCGCCCAGGGCACCGCCTGGCACATCCACATCAGGTCAAGTTCAAAGTGCTAAATACGTACACATGGTGGGCTTCATCATGAGTGAGTGTGATGACAGGAGGAGGAGAGTCCTCAAACGGGGTGCCCTTCTGAGATCACCATGTGCATGGCGGGACGTGCAGAAAATGTGGTGCCAAAAGATTTAGTGGGAGCTCTAACTCCCTCACCTGTGAGCATGGCCACCTAAGCCAAGGCACAGAGCTGTGACTTATCATTAACACGGGGCAGTGATGCCTTCTCACAGGGCCCAGGCAAACATAAATGGAATATCTGAGCATAGTAAACTCTAATTATTGTTGGAAATATTATTACTGATTTTGGTCACTTCTTGGGCTGTGGGCCACCAAGGGAATGACTTAGGATAGAAAGGAGTGTTTTAAAATTAGATTTGCTCTGTCTGGAGGATTAAGATCACTGCAGTTTCACACGGGGAACCATCTCTCTCTCTCTCTACCATCTTTTCCTACCCACATTCTTACTTTGCAGCCGAGCTGGTAGCTAAGTCTGTTTCTGTAAATGAGCTTCAGAGGCTCCGGGAAACTTTCCATTTTATCAGGACTGCTGCTACGGTTTTGGAATTAATCTCAAACACATAACTTTAATAGAAGGTCAGTTTTAATCTGAGCACATAAATCTCTTATTTTTGCAAGATACAGATTGAGTTGCCACATGTTTTCCAGGTTATCATCTCATGAGTTCAATTAGTTTACAATAAACAGTAACAAACTATATTTCTGTGCCTTACAAGCTGGGAAGACCACTGGACTATCACTGTCAAACTCCCCTCCGGAGCCCAAAGCAGACGGCCATGGGGAGAGGGATATGGATGGGACGGGGTGCTTTGTAAAACGTCAAAAACGATAGGCAGTCTCCACATTGCTACCCCTTTACCGCCAGAAAAACCACATCTGTTTTCCTCACTGCTGCTTAGAGCACCCAAACTTTGTCAATGGGGTGCTTCTTGTCTGCTCTCTATGACCTGGAAGTTTCTTTCTCCCATAAGTGAAAAAAGTGAGAGCTGAGAGAACCAGCCCCATGAGCTGCAGGTCCTGCTGGACTCCACGTTCACAACTTTACATTGGAAACTGTAGAGTTATGACTCGTGTGTGATTTCCTGATGATCATGCTCTGGTCCCAAGACAGTCCCACAAGAGAGCTGGGCTAGAAGCCAAACTGAGGGGAGCTGCCCTCACCCAAGAGGTGCACCTTGGGTGCCCTCTGCCGAGACACCCAAGAATTCAGTCTGCCTAAGACAGTAAGCTCCCTGAGGGCAGGAACCACATCTGCCTTGTTCTCTTTTATATCCATGGTACTGAGTGCAGCACCCTGCACAAAGCAACACCTAGCAAGTATTTAAGGGGTGAATGAATGAATGCCTAGCGGCCCCTCACCTGAGTACCCTCCCATCCAGAGCTGGGGAAACTCCGGTCAGAACGCTCTTTAGAAGGCTGACTCATGAGGGACCCTCACCCCTTAGGCTGAGTGAGGCGTCTGTTCTTCCTGTAGGGCCACCCCAGCAGTCTCATCATGTCCATCATATGTCACTATCAAATTATTATGTTCAAAGGCAAAACCCCGTCTCTACAAAAATTACAAAAGTTAGCCGGGCATGGTGGTGCATGCCTGTAATCCCAGCTACTTGGGAGGCTGAGGCAAAAGAATCGTTTGAACCCAGGAGGTGGAGGTTGCAGTGAGCTGAGATCATGCCACTGCACCCCAGCCTGAGCAACAGAGACTCTGTCTCAAAACAACAAACAACAAAAATTCTTATGTTCATTCACAGATCCATTATTTCAACAAAACTAACTGAATATGTGCCATGTGCCAGCAGTATTCTTCTTTTGAAAATACATAACACAGTTGGGAGTGGTGGCTCACACCTGTAATCCCAGCACTTTGGGAGGCTGAGGCAGGTGGATCACTTGAGGCCAGGAGTTCAAGACCAGCCTGACCAACACAGCAAAACCCCGTTTCTACTAAAAGTATAAAAATTAGCCAGGTGCGGTGGTGCACACCCGTAGTCCCAGCTACTTGGGAAGCTGAGACATGAGAATCTCTTGAACCCAGGAGGTGGAGTTTGCAGTGAGCCAAGATTGTGCTACTGCACTCCAGCCTGGGTGACAGAGTGAGACTCTGTCTCAAAATAATAATAATAATAATAGTACATTAACATGACCCAACTTTCAAAATTAGATAAGAAGGTGTGAAATGAAATGTCTTCCCCACTGGTAGCCATCGTTATTAGATTTTGAACAAAACAGTAGGCTCAACTCACCCTGTCTATCCCATCCAGGTTACAAAATTGTTCCATTTTTCCCAACTCCTACAATGCATTTTCATGATTGGGAACGAATCTGGTCTCTTCCTTTACTCATATGTAATAATTCATGCCATTTACGGAATAGTGGAGTCAAATCAAGTGAATTCGCAGTGGGCAGGTGGGTGTCTGTCCCAGGCTGACCTGCTTGCTTTCACAGCACCTTCAGTGCAACCCTACAGTTGCTGATCCCGAGTGCACCTGCGTTCCTGCTGGTCCGGGAGCTGATCAGGTGGATTCACTAATTTGGGCTTACGTCTGAAGTACACGCACCTTCTGCGATCTCCGTTCTCCCTTATTCCCAGCAGGAATTGCTGAGAAAATGAGGAGTGGCTGCTTTGTAATTTTCTGACAAATGAATGAAGTTTAAACATCTGCTGGAGATGTATCATGTGATCTTCATGAGTGACAGCTGTCTTTTATAGAGAGGGGAGGGAAATATAGATGACGCAATAGAAAGTAGCTCTACAAATAAGCGAAATGGGAAATCTGCTGACGGTGAAAATATACATTCATCAGTGTTATCTCACAGCATGAGATAATCCATCAGCCCTTCTTTCTGTTGGCTTTTTCTTTTTCCTTGTGTTGAGGGGGACTATGACAATAACCCAGTAGATGGCGCTCATTGTCCGTTTATCTGCCATTGTGTGGCTCTGTCACTAGGTTGAGCTCAATTTTAAGATTTGAGAGCTAGAGGGCAAGATTTCCTTAGAAATGACACCGATTTAAGGGAAAAAATTAAAAATTTAAAAAAAAAAACGCTTTTAAAAATCTCTTTGAGAAGACTATGTCTATGAAGGTCCCAAACTTCAAGTTGCAAATCTCAGCTTGTAGCAAGGAAATCAGAGATGTGAGGGAGCTTTGCCACCAAACGTGGCCGTGACTTTCTGAAGGTGAGCACTAGGAACCACGGGGAGAGTGACTCGTGGAAAACCCTCCGCAATTCTCATCGAACTCTGCTGTTCCCCGGAAAATGCGTCTCAGGTCTGCGGGCTTTATTTGTGGTCTATTGCTCTCCATGAAATGAGGATTCCGGTTGTTGGGCATTTCAGGTGGAAGCACAGAAGAGACGCCGCTCCTGTGCGTCTGGGAAGATCCCGTCTGTCATCTGGAAGTCATAAAAGCCACTTTCGGAAACACAGATGTCACTTTTGGGGAACGGTCGTCATGTTTCAAGGCCCTTCCTTGGGTTTGAACTGGGAGGGCCAGAGTCGGCCCAGGGAATGGTGATTGGCACATGGAGGTGTCCTGGCAGCGGTGGCCGCCAAGGGGCGGTCGGCCCTCCTGTCCCCGCCACCCTCAGCCCCGCTGCTGGGCCCTTCCAGGCCTTTCTCCCAGCTCCCTGCGTCGCCTCAACCTCCTGCTCTCACCCGCTTTGTGACTCCAACCAGAACAGCCCGTCACTTCATTTCTTAAGAGTCTTCCTTTTGTGCCTTTCACATTTTCCTCTAAAATTTAAACTAACGATTTGTGTGTGGGGTGTATACATTGTGTGTGGGTGTATATATTATGTGGGGGAGTATATATTGTGTGGGGTGTATATATTGTGGGGAGTGTGTATATTGTGTGGGGTGTATACATTGTGGGGGGTGTATATATTTTGGGGGATGTATATATTGTGTGGCGGATGTGTATATTGTGGGAGGATGTATATATTGTGGAAGGATGTATATATTGTGTGGGGGATGTATATAGTGTGGGATATTGTGTAGAGGGAGATTATATATCGTATGTGATGTATATATTGTTTAGGGTGTATATATTGTGAGGGATGTATATATTGTGGAGGGTGTGTATATTGTGTGGGGGAGTGTATATATTTTGGGAGGATGTATATATTGTGTGGAGGGGGATGTATACATTGTGTGGGATGTATATAATGTGGAGGGTGTATATGTTATGGAAGAGTGTATATATTGTGTGGAGGAGTGTATATATTGTGGGAGGATGTATATATTGTGTGGAAGGGGATGTATATATTGTGGGGGTTGTTTATGTTGTGGGGGATGTATAGGGAACAGTTACCTCAGATTCGCAGAGAATGGAGCCTGTCCCCATGTGCTGTGACTTGCCAGAGTCCCCAGTGCCTGTGACCACCTCTGACCCTGGAAGTGAGGGTCAGAGGAGGTCACAGAGGCCAAGGAAGGGTGCTCCCTCGTGCTGTCACCAGGCTGATGAGATGCAGGTGACAACTTTCCCCAGACCACCCTGATGTGTGTCCACTTCCATTAAAATCAATGTTATGATGGTGTTGGCACTTGGCTCCTGGAAAGGTGACACCAAGGCTCTGAAGATGAAAAGCCACACGAGCACACCCCGCCCCTTCCTCGGTGGCCTCCAGAAACTCTCTCGCAGCACTCCCCACTTTCTGCTATTTAGGGGCCTTTACAATACTTGTTACATTCATTGGGCAGACATGGCCCACATTTTCTAAGAATGCTCATTCAGGTTGCTTCCAGAACTGGCTTAGCTTTTTTAAGTTGAAGAGGAGGGAAGGGTTTGGGGAGGTAGGAAAGGGTGTGTGTGGCCTCTGAGATATGGGCTGGAGTTTTATTTAACAAAACAGATGATAGCAAGACAGATGAGACTAGATAGATGGACTAGATAGATAGATGAAAATAGAAGATAGATGATTGATAGATGATAGATGACTGATAGGTAGCTGACAGATAATAAAAGATAGATGATTGATAGATGCTAGAAGAGAGATATGTAGATAGATGATTGATAGGTAGATGACAGGTAGAAAAATTAACTGAGCTCATTTTCTAATGTGACCTCATGTTGAATTTTTTAATTTCTGAACAAAAGAGTCCTCCCATCAAAGTAGCCTATGTTCCTTGACAACCCATTGCCGGGCAGAGCATTCTTGGGGATACTCAACTTGCCCCTCAAGGGGTCCCTGGAAATGGGGATGCACACAGCATCCCATGTGTATATCTATAGAAGAGGATATAGATAGATACATAGATAGATAGATATGGATAGAGGAATAGCTAGACTTTATATTCCAGTTTATTGTTCATAAAGGTAATCCAAAGAAAGGCAAGCATCATTTATTAGTTTACCTCGTAGAGAAATCCCAGGCGAGCCATTTGCCTATTTTTGGTAAAATGAGCTTATTGCTTCCTCCTGTAGTCTGAGGTAGCTCACCCTGGTGCTGCGGGAATGTGGAAACCTGGGACCCGGGGAGACGGTGGCTGCTGTGGGAGCCGTGGTCTTTCCCTCTAAACTGTGGCAACAAGTCAGGGAACAAGGAATTTAGAGACAGAACCGAAGACAGTATTTATTCTGCCTGTAAGTGGCAGAATCTGTCTTCAGACAACTCCTGGGGACGCTGTGTGTGTCCCCATTTCCAGGGACCCCTTGAGGGGCAAGTTGAGCATCCCCAAGAGCCATCTGCCTGGCAATAGGCTGTGGAGGGACACAGACTACTTTGATGGGAGGACTCATTTGTTCGGAAATTAAAATACTCAACGTGCGGTCAAGTTAGAAAATGGGCTCATTAAATTTTTCCAGCGATCTTAGACCCATCCAGTGATGAGTGCATCCCTAAGGTCTGCAGACTTGTCCTGAATACGCCACTTTAAAAACAATACCGATTAATTAAGACTAGGTCCACTTAGCCCTTCTGCTTTTTGAAAAGGATCCTCCAAATAACAAATTTGTTGTGTTATGGATTGGTTTAGAGACAACAGGCTCACTTGA
This sequence comes from Homo sapiens, assembly GCF_000001405.40. Classification (NCBI taxonomy): domain Eukaryota; kingdom Metazoa; phylum Chordata; class Mammalia; order Primates; family Hominidae; genus Homo; species Homo sapiens. The sequence continues at coordinate 7,528,693 of NC_000010.11, forward strand.
TTACAATGCCACGCTTCAGATATTTTTACTGAAACCGATCAGGCCTCCGAGAGAGTCTCGGTAACAAGGAAGGCTCTGGAAATGCCCCCGGGGGGGTGAAATGGAGCTCCCTTCAAAGGTTTTGGTCTTGTGATTAATAACAGGAAGAAAAAGACTCTACAAAAGCACAGGCTCTAGGTTCCGAGCTTTCTCTTTTGCATCCCTGTCCGTGACTTTTCCCTCCTCAATAAATCTGAAAACGCTGCTGTGGGATTCTGATTTTTTCTTTTCCTTCTCTTCCAGCAAAACATCTTAAGGAACCAAAGGAAGAAAGACAACGTCCTTGGAGAATCTGGTTAGATTTTTATCACTTTCATTCAATATGTGGAATGGAAGAAGAAAGATTTTACCAGTTTCTAGGTTTTTTGTCCAATGATAACTTGTACTCATACTTTTTACTCCTGAATATTCCAAATATGACACACGGTGGAGGATAATTCTTCTTAGTTTATAAAATAGCCTTTAGCACAAAATAAATTGTTCTTTTTCCTGTTATACACCACACATGAAAGTCAAATGAGATAAATCTAATATGTACAAAAAGCATAAAACTATTCCAGAAATGCTTAATTTTCTTTAACTTTGGCTTATTTTTAAAACACCATTGGTTGAGGTACATAAATTTTGTCCAGATTTCTAGTTTATCCACTGTGCTGCTTAGTCTGAAGATGTTTCTAAAATTCTCTCTGTCTTAATTTTCTCATTTTGTGGACATAAATTGGCATTACTTATGATCAAAGTTACCATAAAAATCATAAAAATATAAATATTACAATTTAATATCTCCATTGAAGTCACTGGGGCAGACAAAAATCATAACATGTAGGTCAGCGGTCCCCAACTTTTTTGGCACCAGGGAGGGACCAGTTTCTTGGGAGACAATTTTTCCAGTGACCTGGGGGCATGGGGGAGGGGGAGGAGAGGGAAAGGGAGGAGGGTGGTAGGAGGTGGGGGGGATGGCTTCGGGATGAAACTGTTCCACCTCAAATCATCAGGCATTAGGTTCTCATAAGGAGCACGCAACTTAGATCCTTTACAATAGGTTCGGCACTCCTATGAGGATGCAGTGCCAATGCCGATCTGACAGGAGGGGGAGCTCAGGCGTAATTAATTGCTGGCTTGCCAGCTGCTCATCCTTGCTGGGCAGCCCAGTTCCTAACAGGCCCCGGAAATTGGGAACCCTGACATAGGTAACTATAATATATATTTTACAATTTTTTTTGAGACAGGGAGGGTCTCACTCTGTCACCCAGGCTGAACTGCAGTGGTGTCATCACGGCTCACTGCAACCCTGACCTCCTGGGCTCAAACAATCCTCCTGCCTCAGCCTCCTGAGTAGCTAAGACGATAGGCACATGCCACCATGGCTGGCTAATATTTCTTAATATTTTTATAGAGATGGGGTCTCACTGTGTTCCCAGGCTGGTCTCAAACTCCTGACCTCAAGCAATCCTCTGCTTCAGCCTCTCAAAGTGTTGGGATGACAGGCGTGAGCCGCTGTGCCAGGCTTATCTTTCTTATTTCTCAATGACTGCCCATGTGAATACCTAGAATCAAATGCATTTGCAGTTGTATGATATAGAATAGTAAGTGTAGACCAGAGACGTAAAATTATGGCATTGAAAGGAACCTATTTCTAAGGCTCTGTGAAACCCCCAAACAAGCAATATGAGGTCCTTCCATAGATTTCTCTGACATCTTGCTGTCGAATCTTTCAGTCCAGCACACGGACTCCATCTCTGAAACATGCCATTGCCCTTGTAAACAAAATTAATGGAATTTTCCATATAAATAAATATGTATAACATATTTAGCTTTCACTTATTGCTAGACAGCTGAAAATTGGCTCTAGGTAGCAATTAGTGCTGAATGAATCCGTAACTGATATTCCAGCCTTTGCCACCGTGGAAATTTTTAAGCAGGACAACCTGATGTCATGGTGATAAGATGTTTTTTCTTCAATCTTTATTTGACTAATAGTCTTTAATATTAAATGAAGATGTATTTGAGAAAAGAGCTTGATTCATTTTCACTGGATATGCTGCATTGCATTTTGTCTTTGATCTGTAAAAATGCATTGGTCAGTTTCCTTTAAAGCTACTGGGGAGAGGGTGGTTATCAGAAATGAGACCAGCTGGTGCAATCGCTTTTGATTGGACAAATATTGATGGGTACCTACCACTACATACCAGATACCATGCTGGGCATGGAACACATAAAAATTAATTAGTCCCTCCGTCTGCTTTTGGCTTTGTGAAAAATATAGACACCTGATTCTCCTGCTCTGTCGTAGGCTAGGCTCCGTCCTTTTCTGTTTATTTCTAAGCTTACTGGATTTCTCAGCATTCTTCCCTTTTTAAATTCATTCATTCATTCATTCAACAAGTCTCTCTTAGTATCTACTCTGTGCCGGGCACCGTGCTGCGTTCTAGGGCCAAAAGAAGGAACAGAACCAGATCTGGTTCCTGCTCCTGGAGTTTGTACTTCAGTGAGGGAGAAAGGCATTAATCAAAGGAGCCCAAATGCAGAGCTGACACCCATGACAAGCGCTGTGAAGGAGACTGTGAGTCCTGCGAGAGTGGGGAGGGCAGGGATGACGATGAGCCTGGGATCTGAGGGTGGAGGAGAGGCTGAGTCTGCACAGATCGGAGAGACGCCTTCCCGACCCCCACTGAGAACCAGACGGTGGATGGGAGCAAAAAGGATGAGAAGGAAGAGGAGAGGCATGGTTTGGGGCAAGGTTAGAAAAGAAAGGGGGCAGAAATCAAACGATGGAAGGCCTGGTAGGAATGATTCTGGAAGGAGCAGTGACGTGCTGCTCGGATTTAGAAACGATCCCCCAGCTGCAGTGCAGGACGCGTGGAAGGACGTCTTGCCGGAGGTTGTAGCGCCCAGGGATTTGTGGTATCTGAGTAAGAGCGGAAGCACATGCCTGCCTGGACACCTAAGCGAAGAGCCCCGTGTTGTGGAATCCCCCGTCCTTTCTGAGGGGACAACACCAATCCCAGAGGTCTAGAATTGCCTGGCTGGTCTTCAGAACACGGTTTATGGAATAGACCAATAGCCCCAGGAAGGAACTCACTTCCAGTGTCACACAAGTAAATAATATGGGTTTTGTTCCTTATCTTTCTATGGTAAGAAGCTATGAAAACAGCAGAGTGAGTGAAATGGTAGAAGAAGACAGTCTTGTAGGCTCCTAAAATTCTTATCACTTTGTCGAGTGTTCTCTCCTCAAGGGTACAAACGATGTCTTCATTGCCTGGAAATGATGGCGCCCTTGTTCTTTATCCAAAGACTGATGGGGGAAAGAGTAATTCATTTAATAACATGGGGTCCTCATTACAGACTGGCCACCAATATAAAGCTTCGAATTTTTTTAAAATGCCCACTTTGTTTTAGAGTGGTTCATGGAAGCTTTTCATAGTTTTCACAAATGATGATCAATATAATAAATTTATAAAGCCCATTTCTTTCAAGTAGAATCAGTGATAGAATTATTATACATATTCATTTTAAAATAAACATCTTCTCTCTATCTTCAGAGTCAAATTATTAACTGAGGAACATACTGAAAAGAAGAATAAAATGAGTAAATTAATTTTTCCTCCAGAGATAGTTACTAGTAATACTTTGGTATACGTTCTTCCAATAAGTTTTTCTATTCATATTTACACATTTTTAAAGGTTATCTAAAATATACCATCTGTAACATTTTTTCACTACACTACTGAAAAACTTTTCATGTTAGTATTTCTTACTAAATTTTTTTTATTTTTGTAATTTTTTATTTTGATGTTGTGGATACATAGTAGGTGTATATATTTATGGGGTACATGAGATGTTTCGATCCAGGCATGCAACGTGTAATAATCACATCGTGGAGAATGGGGTCTCCATCCCCTCAAGCATTTATCCATTTTGTTACAAACAATCCAGTTATATCTTTTTAATTATTTTAAAATGTAAAATTAAGTCATTATTAACTCTAGCCACCCAGAAGCCTTGAATTTTTTAAGCTTTGGAGGAGATGAAGCCAGAGAAAGAGAAGCCACGTTTCCCGCCATGGAAACACACTTATGAGTCCTTCGCGATGGGCAAAGCCCACGTTTGAGTAGCAGCTGCTCGTCCCCTTGCCCTTTGCCCAGGTCCCTGATGATGTTTGTCTTGGATGCCACTGTGGGATGCCACTGTACAGTCGGGAGTGAAATTAGCCTCCTGTATGGTGGCATGTGAGGATGATTCCTTACTGGGGAGTGTGGAGAGTATGAGAAGTGACCGAGGAAATCCAGCCTGGGGGATTCAGCCTCCGTATCACAGGAGACGCTGCTGTGCAGTTTCTGTGCGTTCAGAGCTTCCACTTAATTTCTCACAGTGTGGGCCTTCATAGAAGGTTCTTTGTTGGGTCACCTCGGCTCCTGCGCTCAGATGACAATAGGAGCTTCAGGAGCTAAAATGACCGATGTGCTGTGCTGGTCAGGGTTCACTTGCAGACAGCAGAGTCTGCCCCGGCTAGTTACACAGAGGAGGATTGATTACCGGCTTTCAGTGACTCCCAGCATCACTGCGGGGGCGGGGGGTGCTGAAGAAATTGAAGACACTCCAGGCTGCCTCCCAAAGCCACACAGCAGAAAGGGGCCACCAAGAAGCTGAGATTCTGTCGTCACCGGAGAGCCGCCTGCCTGCAGGCCAGCCCTGCATGTGACTGTTGCTGCTGCGTGCACACCCGCTCAGTGCTGCCCTTCATCCCACTTCCCCTCCCCAGGTCAGTTCAGAATTCGAGTCCCAAGCAATTGTTCCTGATGGGGAAATGGCAATTCCATTTTAGGTGACCTGAATTAGGTATTAGGTGCCTTGTATGCCAGTTCTCCAGAGAAACAACACACGCGCATGTGCGTGTGTGTGTGTGTGTGTGTGTGTGAGTGGAGAGAGAGAGAGAGAGAGAGAGATTTATTACAAGGAAGCTGCTCACACAGCAATGGAGGCTTGACAAGTCTAAAATCCGCAGGGTGGGTCTGCGGGCTAGAGACCCAGGAGAGCTAATGGTGGAGCTCCAGTTCAAATGTTGTCTGCTGACAGAATTCTTTCTTGCTTGGAGGAGGTCAGTCTTTTGTTCTATTCAGGCCCTCAACTGATGAGATGAGCCCCTCCCACTTCACAGAGGACAATCTGCTTTACTCAAAGCCCACTGATTGAAATGTTCATTTCATCCCAAAACAAACACCCTTATGGAAAAATCCAGAATAGTATTTGACTAAACATGAGGGCACTGTGGCCCAGCCAAGTTAATGCATAAAATTCACCATCACGTGTGTGCCCTGTTGCATGGGACTCTAACAAATTCCTCCCACCCTCTACAGCACAGGAAGGCGCCCCAGAGAGAGGCTGGAATACACACTGTGTGAGCCAGTCTGCAGACTCTGCCAGATGCCTATGGAGACATCCTTGTGAAATTAGAATAGCTCTTCTCAGTTTATTTATGGAATCTTCTTGAAGATCAAAGATGCAGCACCGCTGTTGGTTTTGGTTTCCCCTATTATAACGGAGTCTGAATGAAAGGTGAGCAATTCTATTTAGGTTCTAGCCTAGATGTGGGGGGAAAGATGTCTATGCTAAGCATGACCATTGAGGTTTACAAAAACAAAAGTAGGGTCGCAAGCTAACAAAGAAAAACTAGAGAAAAGATTCTCCTGGCCATGCCCACAGCTGTTCCCAGAAGCTTCCTGAAACTGGTGATTTTATGTTCCTACCTTTCCTCTTAAGACTCCTGATGTACGTCCATTTCCCTGAGTTAATATAAAGTGACCAACTGCCAAGGTTTTCAGTTTCTCTCAAAATTTCAGCCAAACGCCTTGGAGGGAGGGCCTGAAGTCCTCCCACTAGAATTCAGCAGATCAACTCTCGAAGCTGCTCTCTTGACCACTGAATAGTTTCAGGTTCCTTAGGCAGTAATGAAAATATATAATAATCATTAACGTTTGGAGGGTGCTCTATATTTGGAATTATTTTCATATCTCTTGTGTTCTTTGGTCTTCACAACACGTCTTGGAGTTATTTTTTTCCCCAGATAGAGAAAACAGAAACTTGAGTACTTTTTTTGTTTTGAGACAGGGTCTTGCTGTGTCACCCTGGCTGGACTACAGTGGTATGATCACAGCTCACTACAGCCTCAAACTTCCAGGCTCAAGAGATCCTTCCATCTCAGCCTCCCGAGTGTCTGGGTCTGCAGGAGCACACCACCACACCCAGCTTATTTTTGTATTTTTAGTAGAGATGGGATTTTGCCATGTTGCTCAGGCTGATCTCAAACTCCTGACGCTATGACCCAGGCTGGAGTGCGGTGGCATGATAACAACTCACTGTAGCCTCAACCTCCCAGGCTCAATTGATCCTCCTGCCTCAGCCTCCCGAGCAGCTGGGACTACAGATGCAAAACACCACACCCGGCTAATTTTTAAATTTTTTATGGAGACAGAGTCCCACTATGTTGCCCAGGCTGGTCTCGAAATCCTGGGCTCAAGCTATTTGCCTGCCTCTGCCTCCCAAAGTGCTGGGATTACAGGTGTACATCACTGTGCCTGGACTCAGGTACATTAAGTGACTTTCTCTATGTAGTCCAGTGGTTAGTACCAGAGGCAGAAGCCCACTTCCCTCACTCAACTCCAGTCTGATTTCCTCGTCCTGCAGCTCCCATATCCAAAGTTTTGTCCTAGCATCGGTTGCTTAACTCTGGGCTGTGGGATTATCAATAAGACACCAGCCCGTAGGTGATTCTCAGCCTCGGTTCATGGCACCCACTTTGAGGTAGCTCAGATGGGTTGTGCCATTTGTCAAAAGTTCATTTTAACTTGCTGTCATTGAAAATATATTTGGGGTCTATTAGTGCTTCTGTTTTAATATTTTTCTAACCATCCCGCAAGGGGGCAACAAGAGTTCTCAGAGCGGCCGAAAACTCTAGCACAGCTTTTCTTGGGATCATTGTTAGACATTCTTTATTTATAACCAGACCACAAAACTTAGCACAAGTTCAAGAAAATTTGCTATAGCTCACTTGGTAAAAATTCTGTGTTAAATGGCTGGGCATGGTGGCTCATGCCTGTAATGCCAGCACTTTGGGAGGCTGAGGTGGGCGGATCACCTGAGGTCAGGAGATCGAGACCAGCCTGGCCAATGTGGTGAAACCCCTACTAAACTGTCTGTACTAAAAATACAAAAAATTAGCCGGGCGTGGTGGCAGGCACCTGTAATCCCAGCTATATGGGAGGCTGAGGCAGAAGAATTGCTTCAACCTGGGAGGTAGAGGTTGCAGTGAGCCGAGATTGCACCACTGCACTCCAGCCTGGGCAACAGAGAGAGACTCAGTCAAAAAAAACAAAAACAAAAACAAAAACAAAAAAAATTGTGTTAACTTATTAGTTTGAGCAGTTTGCTTAATAGAGGTCTATGCTAAATAGAAGGTTTATTCTCTCACCCTCTTTTTCTTGTCTCTGTCCTGTTTGAGTTTGTGCTGGTATTTTCTGCTATTTTAAAATAATTTGGTCCTTTAAATGTCTATCAGCTTCTCCCTACTTCCTAACATGCCTCACACATAGGCCTCATGGTTTTCCAGGTGGAACAACCCTAAGATCATAATGCTGTTGATTTAATGTTGGAAGCTCCTCCAAGGAAGGGACCATGCCATGCATTTATTTACATTTTACACAAAGGCTGTCAAATGGGGCCATCCTAGTGCCTGCGTGATAGGGCAGCTGTCCTTGAAATGAAGTGATCACTCAAGCCCTTGTTGAATGTGCACAAGAATGAATGAATCAATCAATAAATGAACCAATGATGCTCCAACAGGTGAGATGCAACAGGAGGATCATGAGCTCTTGAGCCTAGGCCCATTTCTGCTAAAGGATTTCTCATCCCTGAAAGCAATGCCCATCCCTCAAAGCCTTGCCTTTCCCTTTGAGAATGATCACACATCTTGTTTCCTATCTCAATACCTCACTCAAATTCCTTGGAGATCCTGGCACAGCAGATAGTCAGTAGCCTACGGTGTGAATCGCCTCTGGAACTTTAAAAACTTGAAACCTGGAGAATCTGATTCAGCAGGTCTGGAGCAGGGTAGTGGGTCTGTGGGTTTCATGATGAACCTGATGCCCACCAAACAATGAGAGCCGCGGTCCTAAGGTAGAGGACCAAAGAGTTCACTCTGTTGCAATTTTTGAGTGCTTGAAAGTAGTTTTGTTTTTGTTTTTCTTTGTGAGAAACTTTGCACTAAGACAGAAAGATGAGTCTGTTTTTAATATCATCCCTACGAAGGGAGCACCTCCACCATAATTACCCTGACGAGATCTTTCAGAGAGCATTTCCAACTCTATCATCTGGTTGGGGCTCGGCTAAATCGTGATTGCGTCCCTGAAATACACTGATGCCTACTTACCCTGCGTCACATTGGTTTTACTGCATATTAAAGTGGACTTCTAGAAAGTTACAAAAGACCTGAAGAATCCTAGTGATTCCTCTCTGATCCAATGCAACAGTCACTCACATCCACTGAGGTCCTCCTGGAAGCCAGGCCTGGTGTTTTCACGTGGTATTTTCTCATTCAAGCTTCACAGCAATCCAATGGGGTGAGGTTGTCTTATCTCCATCTTAAAGATGAAGGAAGCCAGGCTCTCCCAGGCTACATAATTTGGCCAGGGCTAAGGCTCCAGGGCTCAGGGCCACCTGGGGCTCTAACTCCAAAGTCCTTAACCATGGTGCCACCCTATTTCCTATTTGTAGCTCCATTTGAAAAGTGTTAATTGAAGCTTCCTTGAACTTTCCTTTGGAGTTTGTTGCCTTTTTTGTAGTTGTTAAATCAAGAGGGTCAAATAGCAAAACAAGAAGAAAATTTATAGAGCTCTAGGGAGTGGATAACGGGAAACTGCAGGCCCAGCAGTGAATTCCATGCTGGGAAACCTTGGATGGAAGGGGATTCTGGTACCTCCTGTTATTTTAGGTGGGGACTGAGTATGAGTTAATTTCCAGCTGCCCACACAGACCTTATCAATCAGGATGGCTCCATGACACTTGCCAACACCATGCTGACATTTGACCTTGCTGCCATTTTATGCTCACCTTACTTAAATGACAAGGGATAATGAATGTTTGCAACTGGTCAGGCATCAGCACGTCAGAACGTGGAAGATCACAGAGACTTGCAACTAGAAGAATTTTTTGTTTGTTTGCTTTTAAATGAAGCTAGGTGACTCTGCCTCCAAAGTCTTAGGAACTGCCTTGCTGGAGAGGCCACTACAGTAACGTAGACAAAGCTCTAAGCCACTACTCATCACTGAGCTACAGGAACAAGAAGAAAAGTTTAGATAAAGAGAAGTAAAGCATTCTCCTAATGCAGCCTAAGTAGAAAATTGAACCCGAAAAACAAGTTTATCAGCATCATTGAAACAAAAAGCAATATACATTCAATCATAGTGTCACTTTAACATGGCTGAATTTTCAGATACTCTGATTTCCTGTTGGAGTTTTAGTACAACTAAGTAAGGGGTAGATATGGAATCTGTTCCATTTATCAAGTACTGTGTAACAAACTATCCCCAAACATAGCGGCGAAAAACAACAAAAACACTTATTTTGCTCTTGAATCTGCAATTCAGGCAGGGCTTGACAAGGAAAGCTTGTCTCTGCTCTGCTCACTGTCAGCCGGGACAGTTCAAAGGCAGGGGGCTAAAATTATCTGAAGCTCAGTCATTCACATGCCCAGGGATTCACACTGACTTTTGGCTAGGACCTGAGCTAGGCTTGTCTGCCGGACAGCTACGCGTGGCCTCACGATGTGACCTCACAACATGGAAGCACCATGTGCTTCCTCACAACATGGCGGCTGGATTTCAATGATGAGTGTCCTAAGAGAGAGAGGACAGCAGCTGTATCACTGTTTGTGACCTGTCTCAAGAGCCATGTAGCCTCACTTCCATTGCCATCTATTCATCGAGATGACCACAAAGGCCCACCTGAATTCAATGGAATGGCAAAATAGATCCTACCTCTTGCTGGGCATAGTGGCAAGGTACAGAAGAGCATGTGGGACTAGAAATAGTGCAGTGTCCCTTTTTGGAAAATACAATTGGCCTCAGAATCCACGGTGCAGGATTGCCCCAGAAAGCCATATGAATTATTCTTTATGGAAGTTGGACACTCTAAAGAGCAGATGACCTTTGCCACCATGATATGATGTCCCACCCCTCTCTAATGCCAACCTTCCATCTGTCCCAGGAAGGGCTGTCTTCTCACAGTAGGTGTTGGGTATTTCTGCCTCCCCTTTTGGCTTCTGCCCAACCATACCCTCACCCCATGCCTCCTCTAGCTGCTCTAGTTCACAATATTCTCTCTCTTCTCTGAACTTTTACTTCCTGTAGCACCGACAGAGCCTTGATATACTTCCTCCTCTCATGAGTTAATTTCCTTGTGTGCCTGTTTGCCTCAAAACCAGATAATAGGCCCTTGGCCCCTCTCCCTGTGTCATGCACAGAGTGGGCATTCAGTGAATGGTTCTTGATTTGATTATACATTCATGACGTCACCGTAAAGTTAGTCTCCCTGGGCTACATATCAACATGGAAGAAAACTGCAGCCCCCTGACCTATTAGAAGGATGTGACATCTCACGGGAGTGCTCAGTTGCCCTTCAAAGACAGGAAAATAAATGTCAGATTTGGTTTTGTTTATCTGATCTTCATGCAATCACGGTTTCGTACCTCTGGGGGTGGAAAGAATTGGACTGTTTCATAATTGTTTAGAGGTAAGCATAAAATGCACTAAGGCATTGAACTCTGGGTGTGGTGAGAAAGAGAGAAGATGGGAAGGGTGAGAATTCATGGAATCTGGTTGGGTGCTCCTCATTTAGTGCCTTTGTGTGGGAGAAGAGCAGATAGATGGTGGGAGGGTGAAAGGAAGGGCTACTTCAAGTTGCTCCAAAAACTGGGAGTGGGTGGGAATTAAGTCTCTATCAGGTCAAGTTAATACTGGTTAGAATTAGCAAAGTGACTGAGAGTGAGCCTTGGGGTTTATTTTTTGGAAGGAGTCTAAAAGTCCTTCCCACAAAGCACTCCAGCTCCATCTAATGCAATGCCTCTGATTTGTCATAGGCAATTTCTATGAACTTACGCTGTTTTCCCAGTGGACTGGAGTTTATGTATCTCTCTTAATCTGCACAGCCCAGTGGGGAGAGAATCTGTGTTTGTTCCCCTCCCATCTCCTTGCTTACAATTCCTGCTCCCAGCTGGCTTCAGGAACACCCTTGGCAGAGGGGGTAGTGGACCCTCCCTCCATCCCCAAAAACTTAAAGAATGTGCCTTGATTAGAAGCACAAAGCAGATCTCAAGATGTGCTCAGCAGCTGTGGACACCCTGGAGATAAAAAGGAGAGGGGGCCGGTGCCTGTAATGCCAGCACTTTGGGAGGCCGAGGCAGGAAGATCACTTGAGGTCAGGAGTTCGAGACCAGCCTGGCCAACATGGCGAAACCCCATCTCTGCTAAAAATACAAAAAATTAGCCAGGCGTGGTAGTGAGCACCTATAATCCCAGCTACTTGGGAGGCTGAGGCATGAGAATCGCTTGTACCTGGGAGGAAGAGGTTGCAGTGAGCTGAGATTGCACTACTGCTCTCCAGCCTGGGTGACAGAGTGAGACTCTGTCTCAAAAAAAAAAAAAAAAAAAAAAGAGAGAGAGATAGAGAATGTAGAGGAATGGAACCATTATATTACATATCCAAAAAGGGAACAATCCACTTTTTGGTTTAGAACATGACATGTTGTCTTCATGCCAAGCCATCCTTTCCAAATTGTGTTCTATTAATTTAATCTTATGATTACTTTGTATTGATTGTCTAAAGCCCTCACCAATTTGCGACAGTAAAATGCACCCTGGAAGGATGTTAGGTTTAGGAGAGATGCAAGTTGATACCACCGGCCACTGGCCACCAGGTCTCCATTCACAGATAACAGACTTTTGTTTCCATTATCAGTTGACAAATAACAGCTATGTGATTGACTGGGTGAAAAATAAATTTACTGTAGCGTGTTAGTTGCACCATTTCACTCCCTTTATATTTTTAAAGCAAAGATTAAAGTTCAAAAAGAAGCCTCATTTGGTGTTTTTCACGTCTGATGGTAAACTACCTGAGGACAGAGACAGTTGGTTTCCTGGGAGAAAACCCCATGGCTTATCACCAAACAGCGTGCAAACAGTAGGTGCATGGGTGGGGAGGCCTCAATAGTGTCACATACAAAGAAAGGAGTGAAAGCCTGACATAAATTCTCTTCCTTATCCAAAAAGCAAAGCTATCCTATGCAGAGGAAAATGGAGCTGAAACAAGTATGTCTCTTTCCTTCTTTGTATCCCACGACTGTAACCACAGGTATGGCTCTTAGGACCTGTGGAGTCATTCACTGTCCAAAGGCCACGTAGGCTCATTCCTTGTTAGAATAAGGTTGCCTGTGCAGACGGCTGGTCCTGTGTGCAGGCATCTGGGCTCACGTCTCCCAGGAGGGGAGGATGGGGCTGCCGTTGCTGTTGCCATGGCCCCGTGCAGTGTTTCCATAACACAGCCGGCCCACATCCCAAGCAGGCCTGCTTGGACAGTTTGCCCTGCATGATGCGAGACAGGCTGGAGAGGGATCAAGGACCCTTTGGGATTGGAATTCTGGGTTTTGCGTGTGAGAGTTTAACTGGCTAAGACCAGGCCAGTACATGAGCGCAGGCCCAAGATCCGAAAGGGAAAGTCCTGAACGCCCCCTTCCCCCTGTCTTTTCGGCGGGGCTTTGGGAGTTTGCAGGGTGTTCTGAGTGTTTGGGCCTCAGGGATTCTCACCTCCGGGAGATTCCAGGAGCTGTAGGGGGTGGAATGCGAGTAGGAGGAGAGGTGAGTAATGACTGGTGGACCCGCATGGGCTAACTCTTACGGTTCAAGGGTTCAGGAAGAGATTTGCAAACGTCTCTACTCTACTTTGTCTACAAAAGAACACCAAGGAATTCAGAAACTTAATTTGAAGTGGAGTTTTTGGGGATTTTTTACTTCTTGGCAGTGGTAGGCTACCCACCATCTGGGACCTGTATGTGTCATTGAAAAGAAGGTCCCCTCTGGCATGAGTGGAGTGCGGTAGGCGTGGCCTGGAATCCCTGGGTGGCCTGACAGCCCATTTTAATCAGCAATTCTACTGGAGTTCCAGTGACCCAGGGAACAAAGTTCACCACTGCTCCTTACTCAGAACTGGTGATAACGTTGACAGGGCTGATGGGAATCCTCCTGCTGGCTGCAAACTCCACCTGCAGCAGAGACGGGGCTTCTAGGGAGACAGGGTCAGTGTGAGTGAGTGCTGCTGGGTTTGCCAGGCTGCTGGAGTGGGTGTACTACTCCTCAGTGTGCAGGGGGCATCCTCTGCCCCAAACCGACCCCATCTCATCTTCCCTTGCTGATTCCTCCTGGCTGCTTCCATGATCCGTCCTACTTCCCAAAACAGAGAGGATATCTAAATATCATTTTTCAACTTCCCCAGCTGGTAAATGATGAAATTATTATATACTTGCCTTTCTTATCTTTCTACCAAACAGTAGGTTCCTTGAAGACAGACGTCATTATCATTCCTGCTTATGTTCATGTCCCCTAATTAACAGGCTTTGTGCTTACCTAACAAGTATGTGGCACGTATCTGTTTAAATAGCATAAAACAAATATCTCAGTGTTTGCAGTAGTGGACATATACCAGTAAAGTGTCAAGGGTGCCATTTCAGAATCCCTTAATCTTCCAGCAACTTTTTGGTGACCACAAAGATGGTGTTTTGCCTGTGATGCCCCACTCTCCTAATATACTATATGGAATAATGACTTTCTATATCCGTAATCAATATTTACTTTGAATATCAGTAGGTTGAGTTAGTAGTTTGATTCTGGTCCCTTGTTTACTCTGATGCAATCCCCTGTAAGAAGGACCTGACAAAGTGCCTGGTGAATGGGGTTCAGTACATGCCAGTACCTTTTCTTTCCCTGCTAATGCGAACTTAGCAATAAGCACTCACAGAAGTGAGAGTCTAGAGCCTTGGTTATTGGCTGTGACTCTGCCATCACGCTTAGGTGATCATTAAGACATCATTTGGTAGTATCTTTCCTCTGGCAAGGGGAAGAGATGGCTGTTTTTGCATAGGGATAAGATATTATCTTTAAAGCACTTTGTGATCCCAGAAGAAAAGTGTACTCTAAGACCCTGGAGCACTACCCCATTTCTCTACTGTTATTAACAAAATAAATGTGTGTCTGGCACAAGGACTTACACTTAGCAGATAACTCCCAAACTATCAGTGTAGTGGTGCATTATTTTTTGGCCACTTGGTCTTTTTGGGCAAATGCCTAACTGTGGAGACTCCCCCCACTTTACCAGTCCTGCCTCCACGTGGGAGCTTTGGCGGGGTTTATTTCTTGGGGCCAAGTCTCAACAAGTTGAATAGGAAAGCTTGGCAGCCCTAAGCTTCTTCTTCATCTTCCCTGGGGCACGCTCCTATGAGCATGTTAGGAAAGAGATTTTTAGGACAGCATTTCAGTCTCGGTTCTTTGGTCTTTTTAGTTAAAGGTCCACGGCCCTGATTTTCAGACGGACATAGTTGTACCAGCTAGAGCTCATAGAGAAGAGAGATTTAGACATTTGCTACTCCAAGCACAGTCCACAGGCATCTGTGTGGGCCTCCCTTGGGGGAGTGTTGGAAATAGAGGATCTGAGACTCATGCCCCTCCCCCAACACCGGAATTGACCTGGCACCACATTCTCCAGGTGACTCACGAGCACTTGCACCTTTGAGAAGACTGATGGAGACAAATGCCCGGGAAGCCGTCTGCAGACCCTGGAAAGGGGGTGTGCACTTGACCCAATCAGAGGCAGTCGTTTGGCTCAGCATCACAGAAAACAGATGTATTAGTCCATTTTCACATTGCTGATAAAGACATGCCCAAGACGGGGAAGAAAAAGAGGTTTCATTGGACTTACAGTTCCACATAGCTGGGAAGGACTCAGAATCATGGTGGGAGGCGAAAGATATTTCATACATGGTGGCGGCAAGAGAAAATGAGGAAAATGCAAAAGTGGAAACCCCTGATAAACCCATCAGATCTCGTGAGACTTATCTGCCACCACAAGAACAGTATGGGTGAAACCACCCCCGTGATTCAAGTCATCTCCCACCAGGTCCCTCCCACAACATGTGGGAATTACGGGAGTACAATTCAAGATGAGATTAGGGTGGGGACACGAAGCCAGACCATATCAATGGAAAATTCCAGAAGGATATGGAAATAGGGTGTAGTTCCAATGCAAGTTTCACCATAGAAGCTACTAGGCTTCTTCAGCTGCAGATCTGGGGCAGATCAACCATCTAATTAGGCCCTGCCAAGAGGGTGCCTGGGAAGGAAGGCCGTGGCAGGCAGGAGGAAGAGGAAAGAGAGGGTGCAAATTATCTTCCTATAAATTTTCAAGTAACCTATATGCATTATAAGATTTCCAGGCACTACGTAAGAGCATAAAGTAAGCACCGGACATGAGAGTTGCCTTCCTCCGAGATTGTACTCATCATATGGAATTGATTAAGAGCACAGACTGCCATTGTTTGAACCCAGCTGTAGCACTCCCCAGCTGTGTGATCTCAGGCAAATTATGTAACTTCTCCCTGCCTCCATTTCCTCAGCTGAAGATAATAGCAGGGTTGTTGTGAGGGTTCAGCTTTGACGTGTGTAAAGCACTTTCACACCATGGCAGCCCGTCAGTCTTATGAGTTGGCTGTTCTCATTCTAATACTTTCATGATTTTCCACGTTTAAAACTTGGATCCATTTGGCATTTCAGTGTAAGGAGCAGGGTAAAGAATTACGGATGTGTCCCCCTCCTCCAGTGGTTAAATGGTTATCCAGTAATCCCAACATCATTTATCAACTAATCTCTCTTTCCACCTGTCTTATGGGTTGAATTGTGTCACCTAAAAATATGTGTTAATGTCCTTACCTCCAGTAACTCACAATGTGACCTTATTTTTATTTTATTTTTATTTTTATTTTTTTTGAGACACAGTCTCACTCTGTCATCCAGGCTGGAGTACAGTGGCATGTTCTTGGGTCACTGCAACCTCCCCCTCCTGGGTTCAAGAGATTCTCATGCCTCAGCCTCCCCAGTAGCTGGGACTACAGGCATGTACCACCACGCCCAGCTAATTTTTTAATATTTTTAGTAGAGATGGGGTTTCACCATGTTACCCAGGCTGGTCTTGAACTCCTGGCCTCAAGTGATCCACCTATCTCAGCCTCCCAACATGCTGGGATTATAGGCGTAAGCCACGGCACCCAGCTGGGAATGTGACCTTATTTAGAAATAGGGTGGTTAAAAATGTAATTAGTTGGCCGGGTGCGGTGGCTCACGCCTGTAATCCCAGCTACTCAAGAGGCTGAGGCAGGAGAATCGCTTGAACCCGGGCGGCAGAGGTTGCAGTGAACTGAGATTGTACCACTGCACTCCAGCCTGGGTGACAGAGTGAGACTTCATCTAAAAAAAAAAAAAAAGTAATTAGTTAACATGAGGTCATAATGGAGTAGGGTGGGCCCCTAATCCAAGATGACTGATGTCTTTTAAGAAAAAGAAAAAAACACAGGGAAAATAGCCAGGTTAAAAGAAAGGCAGAGACTGGAGCAATGTGGCCACAAGCCAGGGAATGCATGGGGCAACCAGGAGCTGGAGGAGGCAGGAAGGATCCTCTCTAGAGGCCTCGGAGAAAGCACAACCTTGCCAACACCTCGATTGCAGACTTCCGGCCTCCAGACTGTGAGATGATCAATTTCTGCTCTTTTCAGCCTCTGCGTTTGTGGTACTTTGTTTTGGCAGCCCTGGGAAGCTAATGTAACATAGGATGGATATGTTTTTTCTTGTTTGGGTCTGGTTGACTATTCCTCTGTTTTAATGATCTGTTTTAATGATCAATAAGTCCAGTTCAAATGTAGGAGACATTGAACCTTCCCATTATTCCCAATAGAAAATTTTTGAGATAAAATTAGACACTTTGATACCAAAAGTGCCAAATCAGGAACTGTGACTGGCCACTGTAAAAACTCATATTTTCCTGAAAGTCTGTGTCCATGAGGACCCTGGCAGCTCCACTTCCCACTCCACGGCCTCAGACACTGAGATGCTTTCCACCATGACACTCAGAGAAGGATGTAACGTCTCAGCTGCCACAGCTCTCATGAATTGTAGAGGTTTATAAAACTTAGTGGGATGCAGCTGCACTTATTAATAAGCGCTATCCATGGCTAGAACCAAAGACTGTGTTAGTGGAAGATGAAGTCTTCATTCCTTGGCTTATGACAACGTTAACTGTTTTTTAAGGACCACTGGTGGAAGTGGTGAAAGAAAGCACCAATGCCAGGTTCTATTTTACTTGAGTAAAGAAAATCAGATTAAAATAATGAGTGACAATCCAGGACCTCGGACGCTTCCTGGGGGGGCTGTCCACAGGGCCTCACTGTGAGGCCTCCTCAGTGGCATAAATAGGGCTGCATTTCATAGCAGCCAAGTGTCAGGAAATATGCTTTTAATTATCATTTAAGATGTAACCTGTCAGAGGTATTAGTATCACTTGTGTTTAATGAGAATTGATTTTCAGATTGCATTACCCAGGAAGCCCAGGATAATGGAAACCCCCAGTTCTTTCCTGAGACCTCAAGTCACCACCACATCGCTCTGTGCCAGTGCTCACCACATCAGCAGCCACCGGACATCTGATCTGCCCACATGCAGCCCAGGCAGAGGCCTGCTTAGCCTTAGAGTGATTGCTGATGAATGAGATTCCACAGAGCTGAGCCTGGCTCAGAGTTTTATTGCAAAGTGAGGGAATCCGAGGGAAAGCTAATGAGGGGTTGAGGTTTTCAGTGTGGCCCACAGACTGGCCTCATCAGTGCAAGGATGCGGTGTAGAAACGATGTGTTGATGGGGAGAGCATCCGTTTGAGCCATGCCCACCTCTGGCTTGGTCTTCTGCTGGTGTCCTGACCTTTCTGAAATAGTCAGGCAAGTCCTGGAGAGGGAGGCCAGCGTGGGAGAGCAGCGGGTGGCGTCGGGAAGGGAAAGATCTTGCCCAAGTGTTTCCCAGTCTGAAGTCATCCCTCTACCACCCTTGAGGTTTTATTGCCATAAACTTATACTACCCTGACAATGATTGACAATATTTTCCTCGAAGTGGATTTAGTAAACTTTGTAAGTTTGTTATGCAAAAAAGACTTAAATCATTACTGTAAGCCTGTTGGTCTCACTGGTTTGTAAAACGAAACGTTTCTCAGTTGCAGATGGATATCGTGGCCTGCTGATGGTTTTGGAGCCCAGGTCCAGACATTTCTTGATTGAAGTAGACATTCAAGAAGTGTGAAATGCACAGTCAGAAAATCTGGGACTTCTCTTTTTCCTTGTCAGAATCAGGATTGAAAAATGATTCAGCGGGGAATAGCTTCTTTACAGTGAGAGCCCGTGTTATTGATTTTTGTGTCTGTATACAACCTAAAAGAATGGAGGCGTGTGTCCCTCTCTTTCGGAAATAATGATATCATCCATGTGTAATTAATTATGTGGGGCCCATGTTGGAAGACTGTGTAGCCAGCTCTTGGCTGTCGAAGCACTGACTACATGGATTTAACCTGCCATTGACAGTGGCGCCATTTTTCTGGTCCTCCAGAGGAACATAAACCTGTCCATTTTACTCATCTTGAAGGAGTTTTGGCAAAACATGTATTAGGGCAGAAAATGAAACCTCACTAGAGCTCCCTTTGCACTGGAAGGCTGGAGGAATTTCGTGGACTTGGAGGCTCTGCCCTGTGCTCCACGGCCACAAGCCCTTAAGTGTTGTCTCCACAGCATTTGCATTTGCTGTCCTCAAAGCCCCGCTCCTCCCTCTCCCGTCGCTGTCCTCAAAGCCCCGCTCCTCCCTCTCCCGTCGCTGTCCTCAAAGACCCACTCCTCCCTCTCCCATACACGATTTTGAGCTATATCCTTAATATCCAGGTTCCTTTGTGTTTCCTGGTAATGGGTAGAAGTGCAAGGGGATTTCAGCTCCCAAGAGACAGGGTTTCCCCGTGCCTAAGACCCCAGGGTTGATGCTACTCTGTCATCAAGTGGTGACTGTGACTCTTCCCCCCGCAACCTCAGGAGGTTTTTTTGGACTTCATCCCAGATCCTGAGCTGGAGCTGGTCCTGGGATGCAGAGCGTGCCTGTCCTAGTGAACTGAAGTGTCTCCAAAAGGGTTCCTGAAAACAGAACAAAGTTGCCCAGCCAGGCACGCAGGCCAGGGCAGGAAACTGGCCTTGGGGCCACCTCCGCTCAGGATGGGGTGGAGGCAAACAGACTTGTGCGTCATCCTTCACAAAGAAGGTTCTCTCAGATATTTGGATTTCCTTGAGGAGCCCTCAAAGCAATAAAATAATATGTCCTTCAGACTGAGAACACTGACCGTGTCTGCAAGGCAGAGTGGGGCGCCGCATGAGGTCTGCATCTCAGAGGCTCCAGGCAGGAGTCTGGCTCTACTTGTTTTTCAGAGTATTCTCTGGGAGGCACACACCTTTCCCATTTTCTGGTGTGCCCAGCAATAGGACGTCGTGTTATCTTTCCTGAGGGTCGGACAGACGTTCGCTTGTGAGGGTAGGATCCTGCTCCCTTCATAGTAAGCAGAAAATCCAGTCATATTGCACTATGGGGGCCCAATCTTTTTCTACTTTGGTGAAATGTCCTGAATCTCACCTCTGAGAATACCTTTCTTGCTGTGTCCTGGCATAGCTTCCTGAAACTGTCGGAAGAGGTCTTTTATTCCTTATTGATAATCTGGAAATAGGGCTCTTTTGAAAACCTTTTTTTGTTTTTCCAAAGGAAAAAAAAAACCCAAAGAAGATAAAACACTGAATTAAAAAGAAATAGACTCTTTGTGGCCGTCTATATTTTCCAAGGTTTCATGTTTTTAACAATGAATATGTATTATTTTGCAATCGGATACAAGCTGGGCTTTGTTTGTAATTGACAACAGAGGGCTATCAGCCCAGCTACCACTGGAAGCAGAGTGGTATTTCAGAGTTTGTTCTCTCTCCCCACCACCTTTGGGGCGTCTGCTTCATGTAATTCCCACCCAGAAGCTCCCCTAATGAGGGGTGCTCATTCAAGGTCTCCCACAAGGAACAAAGCATTTTCACATTTTCCAAAGTCCGTTTCATTGTTGAAATATTGTAATAGAAAGCAGGATATATTTGCACTGTAATTTTAGAGCAATTTTGGAAGTAGAAACATTTTGTGGGTCTCATCTCATAGACCTATGTCCATCCAGGAACTTCCTATCTTTCTTTTAAAAGAAAAGATGTCAGGTTTGTCAAAGATCAGATGGTTATAGATGTGTGGTGTTATTTCTGAGGCCTCTGTTCTGTTCCATTGGTCTATATGTCTGTTTTGATACCAGTACCATGCTCTTTTGGTTACTGTAGCCTTGTAGTATAGTTTGATGTAGTATAGTCAGGTAGCATGATGCCTCCAGCTTTGTTCTTTTTGCTTAGGATTATCTTGGCTATAAGGGCTCTTTTTTTGTTCCACATGGGGGGAAAGGGGAGGGAGAGCATTAGGACAAATACCTAATGCATGCAGGGGTTAAACCTAGATAATGGATTGATAGGTGCAGCAAACCACCATGGCACATGTATACCTATGTAACAAACCTGCACATTCAGCCCATGTATCCCAGAACTTAAAATTTAAAAAAAAATTTTAAAGAAAATTTTTTTTAAAAAAAGAAAAAATGTAAAATTATTGATACAATGATCTGACGTTCAGGTCATCATTTGGTCCATTTTGATTATTTTGAATGATGACAAAGACCAGTTATTAAGACATTTTTTCATCAAGGTTTAGCTTCTTGCTGTGGGAGGGGGGGTCGTAGTGTTCTGGGTTTATAGATGAGAATGAGAGGTCCCAGGGACACATGTGGTGGAAACTTTGCCTTCACTGGAGTGTCAACCCAGTCATGCCCTTTAGGCTGGATCAGAAAAGCAGAGATTTGAAAAATTATGCTACATGGCTTCTGTGCAATCATTCGGGTGACTTATTAAGAAGGATGGGAGCAGGTGCAGTTTGCAAGGATTTCATAAGGGGAATCTCATTAGCAGGAGAGGAAGGAGAAGAGAAGACCTACCCTGTCCCATCCTACAGAGAAACTAGATGTTGCCCTTCAGAATTTATATTTTGGGTTCTGTTATCCATTTGTGCTTTTTCATTTTGCCTCTGGCCTCTCAGGAAACAAAGACAGCCCCTGTTTAAGGATCAAGGCCCCCACATTGAGGAATGGAGGGTCCCCTTTCTCTTACTGAGGGCCTAGACAGATGGTCACCATCTAGGGGCCAAGCTGAACCATGTGTCTTCAGCATCCTGGCAGCATGCACAGCTCTGGGGACCCAGCCCATCCCAGGCTGTGCCCTGATGGAATGGGCTGGAAGCTTCTGGCAGTGCCAGTCTGGGATTTCCCTGGCCGTCTTCCCTGTGTCCTGCTCAGCCTCTGAGGATTTTTGTCAGAGAGTAAAGAACTCAGAAGGCTTTTTAAAATTGTGCTAAAATATGCACAACATAAAGTTTATCATTTTAACCATTGTTGTATGTTATTCTTTGAGTGTAGTTAGTGCATCAATACTCACAAATAGGTTTTGTCTGTAATTTTCACTCATGCAATTTGTCAGATTTTACTATCACTATGATGCTCACTTTTTTATTGTAATAAAACCATATAACATAGAATTTACCATCTTAACCTTTTTTTTTTTTTTTTTTTTTGAGACAGTCTCACTCTGTGGAGTGCAGTGGCGCGATCTCGACTCACTGCAACCTCCGCCTACTGGGTTCAAGCAATTCTCCCACCTCAGCCTCCCAGGTAGCTGGGATTACAAGTATCCACCATCATGCCCAGCTAATTTTTCTATTTTTGTAGAGACGGGGGTTTCGCCATGTTGTCCAGGCTGGTCTTGAGCTCCTGATCTCAGGTGATCTGCCCACCTGGGCCTCCCAAAGTTCTGGGATTACAGGTGTGAGCCTGTACACACCTGGCCCATCTGAACCATTTTTAAGTGTACAGTTCAGTAGCATTGAGCAATTCACACTGTTGTGCCACATATCTCTAGAACTTTTTGTCATTTAAAATGGAAACTCTGCACCCATTAAACAGTAACTCTCCTTTCCGCTCTCCTTGAAATCACTGGCCACCACCATTGCACTTTCTGTCTCTATTACTACTCTAGGGACCTCACATACATAGAATCATGCAATATTTGTCTTTTGTGACTGGCTCATTTCACTCAGCATAATGTCCTCAAGGTGCATCCATGCGGTGGTATGTATCAGAATTTCCTTCCTTTCTAAAGCAGAATAATATCCCACTGTCTGTATCTATTCATACTATATCTGCTTACCATTTTTCCATCGATGGACTTTGGGTTGCTTCCACCTCTTGGTAACTGGAGGAATGCTGCTGTGAACTGTGAACACGGGTACACACATCTCTCTCCAAGGCCCTGCTTTCAGCATCCTTCATATATAATTTATTAGATGAGAAGCACATTCACGTGGTTTTATGTGGATCCCAAGGACTGAGATTAACCACACACGTTTCAGTGACACCAATAAGGGCTGTCACCCCAATCTCCAGGCCTAGAAAGGGAAATATGGGGCATTTGTGAGGCTGGCTGCGATCTCCCAAGAGGATGTTTCTCACCAGCTTGTCTGGGGGTTGGTCGGCAGCCAGCAATGTCCCAGCACAGGGGCCAATCCCAGGGCTCTGCTCATGGCCACAGCGGTTCAATGAGTGGCATCCTGGACCTGGGCCCTCCCTGCTGCCAGGCCCACTCCTTCCCTCCTCTTCTCACCCCTGCATCAGGGCCCTGCATGCTGCGGCCTCCCCCTGCAGACCCCCCAAGTCCCCAGAGCCAGAAGCTGAGCCGCCCAACCTCGGGGGTCCTGAGCAAATTGGGCCTCCCTCTTCTCCTGCCTCTCCAGCAACACAGCCCGCCACCCCATCTCCCAGCACCCCTCCCCGCACGCCCTTCCCTCTCCACAGGGTGCTATAGTTTCCAGGCTGGACCGTGGTGTGGAAAAGGTGCCTCCGGGTTTATCAGAGTTCATCGGACTGTCTCACAGCAGGCGCCAGGCTGGCAGCATCGCCTCGACTTGAATTTCAACCGTTTTCTCTGCTTAACACCTCCCTGGGCCATCCCTCCACCCCCTACATAATGAGCTCCATTCTTTCCCAGCTCTCAGTGGCGACAGCAGCCAAGCCCTACCGCATGGGGACAGGAATTGGCTGTACTTAACCTGCTGGGTTTCTCTCTCCCTTTCTTACCCGTCTGTTCAGCTGTAACCCTAGCAGGCCCCGCCAAAGAGGGGCGCCAAGGTGTTTGCTTCAGGGAGGACCTGAAGCAATTGGTCCCAGCTGGGAGCCAATCACTCAGGCCTGGCTCTGTGCTGACCGTGTGGTCAGCGGCGGGTCACTGGGTGTGAGCTTCCCTGTGACCCCCTAAGCAAGAAAGAATAGGCTCGCCTCTCCCTGACCTCACAGGGAGGTCTTGAGAACTGCTTTGACCTAAACGTTAAAGTCCTGCAGAGGGAAGTAATTGAAGAGTTGTGGCCACAGGAGGTCAGAAACCAAAAAACAATCCTGGATATTGTGCCCAAAACTCTGCTCACTGCAAGGGGTGGGCCGTTGGCAGTAACCCGGGAGTGCGGGTCATTCCAGGCCCCCAGCTGGATGAATTAGGCCTAAGTCATAGCCTGAGGGCTGGAGGCTTGGAAGGACAGCCTGGCTGCCCCAGGACACAGCAGCAAAGCACCCTCCATGGTGGAGGCTTTAGAAGGAGATCGCGTGGCTCAGGACCTCCACCTGGGAGTTAGCCTTTTTCTTTTTTTAAGAAAGAGAGTTGGCTGGGCACAGTGGCTCATGCCTGTAATCCCAGCACTTTGGGAGGCCGAGGCAGGCAGATCACTTAAGGCCAGGAGTTCAAGACCAGCCTGAGCAACACAGTAAGACCCCATCTCTACAAAAAAACAAACAAAACAAAAATTAGCTGGGCATGATAGCACACACCTGGGGTCACAGCTACCTTGGAGACTGAGACACGAGGATCCACTGAGTCCCAGAGGTCAAGGCTGCAGTGAGCCATGCTCACACCATTGCACTCCAGCGTGGGCAACAGAGGAAGGGCATATCTCAAAGAGACAGAGATTGTGAGAGAGAGAGAGAGAGAGGAGTCCCTCTATTTCATATTTCATCAGATGCTCAAAGTGTCCAGCACTCAAAGGGGCTAAGCATCTCATCTACCAGGGTCCCTTCGCCTCCTGCTCCCTGGTGATCTGTAACTTGCCACTCCTTCCTTCCATCGCCCTTTGCCCTGCACTCTGCCCTCCAGTACCAGGTGCCCTGGTCGACATGAGCCAGCAGGCCAGAGGTATGGGATCTACACCATCTCCCAGACAACGGGCACAAAAGAACAAACGAGTAGGGCACAGGGTGGGGGGCACCCGCCTCGCAGGGGAAACTCAGCTCAGGAGGCTTCCAGCGATCCTCAGTGAACCTCAGAAACTAATGACCCTTCCCAAGGATGGGCAGTGCTGGATTCGAAGTGGCTTCGTTCACCTGGGTAGCGCTGCTGACCGAGGATGTGCAGAGGAAGAATGACTTGGAAACTTTTCCAAAACGACATCCCCTCTGGGTCCTGGGTTCTCTGCGGCAACCCCAGCCCCCCGCCACTCCCCTTCTCTCCAACCCACAGGAGCTCATCCGCCGTGCCCAGGCCCCATCTCGAGTCTACCTTCCCCTCCTTTCTTTCTCGCTGGCTGCCAAACGTCCATGTTCTCCCCAGGACTTGCTTATCTCCTCTGCAGAAACCAGAGCGTGTTCCCAGCACAGCGCAGGATAACTGACAGGGAGAAAGGGAAGTTCCCTGGCTTCCACCTGCACCGCTGTGCCAGGTGTGGCCGGTGGCTCATTAATCACATCCACAGCTGCATTGTCTAGGCCTCTCCCAAGAAGACAGGTGACATGGAAAAGCCACTCATATGCATGTGAGTTCTGTCTCTCTTTATTTCATCCCCAGTTGTGGAGTGGTGCCCAACCCACCTCTGCCCCCCAAGAGGCTCTCCACCCCCAACCCCAGCTCCCCAGATATGTTTCCCGTCCTTCCAGCTCACAATGATTTACTTCCGAAAGCTGCTGATTACGAGATGTTTCCGAGGATGTCATGTCTAAGGAAAAGGGAGAAACATGAACTTGGAGCCGACCTGTGGTCTCTGGGCTTCCTGGGGTCTGAGGCATCAAGAGAGCAAACGTGGGCCCAGCAGAGAGGCCTGGCTGCCCGGCCAAGGCTTTTCCACTGTGGGCCCCACACTCTCCCCCTCTCTAGCCAGGTTTCTTTCCAAAAAAAAAAAAAAAAGCCTTGTCCAACAATGAACACTTGGAAGGGGCTGGTGGACTTCCTAAGGTGGCCCCGTCACGTCCACCCATCAGGAGTCCCTGCCCACGCCCATCCTGGCCATTGGCAGAAGCAGCACAACATGGGCTACTGCAGACGCCACTTTTAGACAGAAATAGGCAGCTCCGAAACCACTGCTTCTGGAGGTGAAGAAAGGCCTGGGATGCGCAGGGGGTAGAAACAAGTGGGATCCTGGACTCAGGTGCAGCAGCCCACGGCAGTCACTGTAGACGCTGCTCTTGTTTAGTCCAGAGCCTCCCAGAGTCATGAAAAGAGGAAGGGCCTCGCAGCCAGGCCAGCCTGATCCCGCACATTAGCTCTGTGATGAGGGCAGGGGATGACTCTTCTATACAATTTATTTTCCTTTTCCTTGGAGAGTTTTTGTTGTTGTTGTTGTCGTTGCTTGAGACGGAGTCTCGCTCTGTCTCCAGGCTGGAGTGCAGTGGCGCCATCTCGGCTCACTGCAACCTCTGCCTCCCAGGTTCAAGCAATTCTCCTCCTTCAGCCTCCCAAGTAGCTGGGATTACAGGCATGCGCCACCACGCCCAGTTAATTTTTTTGTATTTTTAGTAGAGACGGGGGTTCACCATGTTGGCCAGGATGGTCTCGATCTCTTGACCTCGTGATCCACCCGCCTCAGCCTCCCAAAGTGCTGGGATTACAGGCGTGAGCCACCGTGCCAGGCTGAGAATTTTTATGATAAAGAAAAAAGTTATTAGATTAAATGCTCCCCGACATGTTTCCCCTCCAATGCTGGCCGGTGCTGTAAGACCCAGATCCAAGGCCAACTCCTCTTGCACCCCAGATAGCACGATTTCTTCCTTTTGAAGCCCCCATCCTTTTACCAGAACCTCTCTAAGACAGGCAGCTGTCCACCTCTTATCATAACTAATTACACAAAACATTATCTCCAGGGAAGGACAGGAGGCATGCTCTGTCCCCTGTACATAGTCAGTGCCCACTGAAGATTAGTTGAATGAATGAATAAGTGAATGTGTTTGTTTTGAAGCATTTTCTCTGCTGGGAAAATTGCATGAACAATTTGGAATGCTATTGTCATTCAGTAATACACACAGTTTTATTCTATGTTATCTTCATCATTTAATTTCCAAAGTGCTCCATTTTAGTTTCCCGGGCAGACAGATGAAGAAATTGAAAGGATAAGCAGTTGCCTACAAGTTCTAGGACTTTCAGCTTCTAGAATATTCCCAGGCTCCAGCCCTCTTCAGTTTTGAGCTGAGCCTTAAATTGCTTTTGCCTTCCCATAGAAAGGTTTGTTTTCTTCTGTAACTTTCCCTGTGGACCTTCAGAATAGAAGCTGGACTTCGGCCTTGTGTGACATTTTACTTTTTAACATTTATAGGGCTTATGTTAACTTCGTGGCTGAAAGAGTCAAGAAATAGGAGGCAGACTTCCAGTGGGAAATTGAACCAAATAAAGAATGAAGCATTCAGGCCTTCATTCACACTCAAATATCTGCAGCACTGTATTTTCTACACTGCCCTTACTCACTTCTAATAAAATTTGTTATTTTTTTAAAAAGCACACACAAAAGCATGTACAATGAAGTTTGTACTCATAGTTCAATGAAGTTATTTCATGGGCATGTCAATGAACTTAGTACATGTGATTTTCAACTTATATAACCAGAAATTCCCAGGAAGCCATCAGAACACTGGGTCTTCTCTTGCACAAACACAGCTGTTGTTCTGAGGACATAGTATGATTAACAGAGAATTTTCAGGAAGAACACTGTGTCAATAAAAATTAATTTGGGTTGGCTTCCTATGAAATATACCATATATATATATGTATATATATATATATATATGTGTGTGTGTATATATATATATATATATATATATATATATATATATATATATATTAGAGAGAGGCATTTTTTCACCTTTATTTGCAATGTCCAAAATAGAAAAGGATGGTGCTGGAATGTCTCCTTCCTTTTGGCTCCCAGATCCCCAACCTCAAATATCTATAATATAAATATAGTCACTTTGAAGATAGAAAGTTTGCTTTAACTCCTAAATTTGGGATGATTCCAGAATAGCTAAAGGGAAGTGACTTTGAAAGAAATCAGCACTGCAAACGTATGTTCAGAGCCACCAGTGTGTGCAGAGGCAGATGTGGAAACCAAGACATGGATGAGATCACTAAGGGGGAAAGTTCAGGGTACCAACGAGAAACCTTAGGGTACGCCTACAGGTTGGTAGGAAGAAAGAAATTCATCAAAAGAGACTAGGAAAGATTTTAAAAAACCAAGGCGGGCAGATCACCTGAGGTAAGGAGTTCTAGACCAGCCTGGCAAACATGGTGAAACCGCGTCTCTACTAAAAATACAAAATTAGCCAGCTGTGGTGGTAGCAGATGCCTGTAATCCCAGCTACTCGGGAGGCTGAGGCATGAGAATCACTTGAACCCAGGAGGCAGAGTTTGCAGTGAGCCGAGATCACACCACTGCACTCCAGCCTGGGCGACAGAGCAAGACTCTGTCTCAAAAAAAAAAAAAAAAAAAAAAAAAAGATTCACACCAAAGAAGCAAAGGGATCCAGCATCTCATCAAAGAGAAACAAAGTCACTCTACAAAAGAAACAGAAGAAACAAAAGAAACAAAGTCAAACTACTCAACAGAGTCACGTAGTGGACGCCGAAGGCACTGATCGCTGGAGGGGACATTGAGATGGCAACGTGACGTCTAAGATGTGGTTCTGTTAATAGGGTGAAGGCAGAAGCTGAATCTGATGACTTAAGCAACTGACTAGGGCAGAAAAAAATATAAGGGTTCACATACCAACCACTAGAGCAAATTCAACAAGGAAATAAAAGAGAAGGTAGAAGCCCCAAGGGAGTGCAAGCAAGGGACAATAGTTTCAGACTAGAGGACATTTTTGGAACCATATCTGAAATCAAGAGAAAAGCACCTGGTGGAAAACAAGAATCTAGAGGGAATAAATGAGGCAACCACTTGAGGATGTGGGAAAAGAGGGGATCCAGAGTGGAGGGTGACAGCTATGCTTGGAAGGAAGGGGGTACCAGCTGATAGAGCGACGCAAAGACACAGACCCTTTGATACGAGAAACAGTAAAGGAAGGAGGAGTTCCTGCCTCAGATTTCTCAGCAAAATAGGAGGCAGGGCCATGGAGGGAAGCTACGGGGCTCAGTGGCATAGGCAGCTGAAGGGGAATGGAGTGGCCATCGAGGCAATGCATGGGAAAAAAAAAACGATCAGTTCTGTCCAACGCTGGCAGGAGCCCTGCGGGTGGGATGACCATGGCAGGGTTCTCTGACTGTCCCCAGGCATTCTTCGTATCTCAAGAGAGGGAGAGGGGATGTGGATGCCACACTGGGGACCCATCTGGCATGGGGCAAGGGTTTCACCAAGCATTTTCCATGGTGGGTTCTCAGAGGCCACCAACTCACCAGCGCCATGCCTGAAACTGTACGGAATAAGAAGATTGCCACAATGTGGGAGAAGTTCCTGGCTGCGTGACATCCTAGGAAACATGTGACTGCCTCTGTCCACGCTCCTCTTCCTTGCAGCTGACTGAACTCTCTCTCCATCTTTGGAGTGGTTTCCTAACCCCCTTCCTGCCTCCATAGTTGTCCCTCCTCTGAGCTCAGATAGCCCTCGGCAAGTTTCCTTACAGTATTGATCACACTCTTTCTATCTTTGCATTCTTTCTTATTTATTTATTTATTTTTAAGACAGAGTGTCACTCTGTTGCCCAGGTTGGAGTGTAGTGGTGCAATCTCAGCTCACTGCAGCCTCAACCTCCGGGCTCAAGCAGTCCTCCCACCCCAGCCTCCCAAGTAGCTGGGACTACAGGCACGCATCACCACGCCCAGCTTATTTTTAAAATTTCTCTAGAGATGCAGTCTCCCTATGTTGCCCAGGCTGGGCATTCTTTCAACATCCTGTTCTAAACTAAGGATTCCAGAGAGGCATGAACTTTGTTTTCCTTGGAATCCCTGGGCCTGACACACTGGAACTAAATACATACTGGAGTCACTGAATGAATAGTTTAGCATTTTTCACATGGCAGCTCAGGAAGCATCTTTGTCTGAAGGCAGAAGATAAACATCACAGGACTGTAGATATTACCTACTCCAGTTCCTTTATTTTTTTGAGACAGGGTTTTGCTTGATCACCCAGGCTGGAATGCAGTGGCATGATCACAGGTGCCTGCAACCTCAACCTCCTGGTCTCAGGTGATCCTCCCACCGCAGCCTCCTGGGTAACTGGGACTACAGGTGCATGCTGCCACACCTGGCTAATTTTTTTTTTGTATTTTTTGTAGAGACAGGGTTTTTCCATGTTGCCCAGGCTGGTCTCGAACTCCTGAGCTCAAGTGATCTACCCGCCTTGGCCTCTCAAACTGCTGGAATTACAGGTGTGAGCTGCCACGCCAGTCCCTTCATTTTAAAGCCACAGAAGATGCCAAAAGCAGAGATAAGTCAACTTGAGTCCTTGACATTAGTTGTTCACTTGTTTTCTCTTTAACACAGCCCACCAGCGATGCCTCCTTTGTGTCCTATGTCTGTTTTGGTTCTAAGCATCTGTTGTCCCGTTCAGCTTGTAATATAGCTCAACCGAAATCTAAACGCGATCCAGTAAAACCACTCAGAACCGGAGGTAGGAGTGCCAGAACCACGAGTTAGAAATGGCACCTAGGAGGGAAATGACCCTGAGCCCAGTGGAAGCAGCATCAGTCAAGACGGTGGGCAAAGTGTGTGCAAAAGAGTACCCAATAATGTACTGGTCCCAATAATGATCAAAGTTTGGGATGCTAGAATCCCCAGACGGGAATGGACTGAGAGGTTTAAGACCCTCCGGTGTACCTGACAGTTTCAGAAGAGCACAGGAATCACTGCTGTGAATTTGCTGTTCTCTACAATAAATTGTATTACGTTAACATTATTCTTCCCATGTTGCTACCCCATTTACATATCATTGTGTGTAATTCAGAAATGCCTACAAACAAGCAGTGCAGTTAGATTCTTCAAGTTTTATTCTCAACAGCTCCAATTCCATTTTCCCTTAGAAAAATAAACAGACCAATATGTTGTTTGTTTTTATGCATCGTTCTCTTATAAATTTTTTGTCTAAGTAAAATGTCTCTTGAATGTGAACTGTCTCGTACCCCACTAATTATTTAAAACTAAAATAAATATTTAAAGCTACATTTATAAGTATTTGCTTAGCTGTGTTATTTGTTATTTATTTTAGCTGGATCATGTCCTACAGTTCCAAGAGTCCTTTAAATTTTAATAACAGCATTGTTTGTGTACATTCTGGGAAGCTTAAAGAACAGAAAAAGAATTAACGTTTTGAATGATTTGGTGTCTTAGTCAGCTTGGGCTGCCTTAACAAGAATACCACAGACTTGAGTAGCTTAAACAAAACACATTTATTTCTCACAGTTCTGGAGGCTGGGAGGTCCAAGATCAAGGTGCCAGCAGACATGGTGTCTGGTGAGGGCCGTCTTCCTGGCTTGCAGGTGGCCATCTTCTCATCGTATCCCCAGGTGGTGGAGAGGAAAAACACCATCTCTCCCATGTCTTTTTTTTGTTTTGTTTTGTTTTTTTTTGACGGAGTTTGGCTCTGTCACTCCAGCTGGAGTGCAGTGGCGTGATCTTGGCTCACTACAAGTTCCGACTGCCTGGTTCAAGCGATTCTCCTGCCTCAGCCTCCCAAGTAGCTGGAACTACAGGCACGCACCACCACGCCCAGCTAATTTTTGTATTTTTAGTAGAGACGAGGTTTCACCATGTTGGCCAGGATGGTCTCCATCTCCTGACCTCATGATCCACCCTTCTCGGCCTCCCAAAATGTTGGGATTACAGGTGTGAGCCACTGCACCTGGCCCCATGTCTCTTCTTATAAGGGCCTTAATCCCATTCGTGAGGGCTCTGCCCTCAAGACCCAATAACCTTCCAAAGGTCCCAATTCCAAGAACCATCACATTCAGGATTTAAGCTTCAACATATGAATTTGGGGAAGACATATACACTCAATCCAAGGCATGTCGTTTAGCCAAAAGTTAAAGTTAAAGGAATGAATCCTGTTCCTAATCCACCTATCAGGACACACGATTCAATTAAATGTTGAATGTTACTCCCTAGAGAAACACAGAGGTGCCCACTCCGATTCCCAGTCCCCGGCCTCCTCAGCACAGCTGTGGCACCGAGGGAATCTTGTGATGGTTTCTCCTCCCAACATCCCCTCCCTTTAGCCTGAAGTTGTAAAGCATTAAAAAGTCAAATGGAGGAAGATGGTGCACCTAGCATGGGGCCGTCGGGGGTCAGGGGAGGATAGAGAACAATGTTCCTTCATTTTGAAAGGCAGAGATGCTGACTTGTTCAAGGTCCCAGTTAGTCAGTGATCATGACACATTAACTATTGTGATAACAAGGAGATTTATCTCCTCTAATTATGACATATTTCTTCATCTCATTCAATTACTCATTTTGGAACAACCCTCGCCCTGGTTTATAAATGCTCAAGGAAAATAAATGATTGCCCAGATGGTGAAACAGGGTCAAAGCAAACAAAATGATTCTGGAGGTTCAGTGTAGCCCTGCATTAAGTATGTTGTATGACTTGGCAAAAACCACTCCACGGCACTCTCTGCCTCAGTTTCCCTATCTGGGAAGATTTTCTGGACAACAGAAAATACTATATTTTTTTTTTATCAAATGCAAAGGTCCTAACTATAAGCTTGGTATGGGGTTTCGGGCTTTCAGGTACTGACCCCATTTGAAAAAAAAAAAAAAGATCTACACGTAAAGAAGAGGAAGAAAAAAGGTGATATTTTTCTAAAGTAAAATATAATTTTTAAAAATGAAAGCTCAACTTTGTTACTTATGTTTTTCTGAGCAAGCAAGTTAGCTATGGATAGCTCATTGGAATGTTTTTCTCAGCTCTTAAAGTAGCAACACAGGCAGTAGGAACTGGTCTTTCCTAATAACGTCCTCATTTCTGCAGTGTCGAGACTTACACCTGGAACAACAGATCACTGCTCCAAGTGCTCCACAGGGGACAGGGCCACCTGGCTCCAGGGCTGTCTGTCCAGCTGGGATTTACATAATAGGAAGGCCCCGGGGAGCCTGGCCAGCTCCCTGGCTACCTCTAGCTGCCGCTCCCTTTCTCTGAGCTCTACAGTCTGAAAGCATCTGTCAGCAGCACTGGCTGGCAGCCTTTGCACCTCTGGCATGAATACAGGCAGCTGAGGTTGGGAAGACGGAAGGCAAATAAATAGCACAGCAGACAGGCCCTGGTGTGGTGGGTTCACGAAGCAGAGAGAGACGAGCCCAGATAGTCCCCCAGCGCTAACTTGTTCCCGAAGCCGCTGCGTCCGACAGGAACACGTGGATGTCATTTTACTGCCTGAATGTTTCCCCAGGGAAGGCAAACATGATAAAGAATTTTCTTAACTCAGCTTTTCCTCCCAGTGCTAAGCATGCCTTCTCATTTCACGCGGGGGCTGCTCTGGTGTCAAGCCCCGTGGAAGAAGCCTCTTGTGAGGCCAGCCCCAGAGCCTTGAACTCTGGCCTGCATCGAAGCATTCCACTTCCCCGACCACAGTCTTTCTTTCTCTGCTGTTTCGCCCAAGCGCTCCCGGTATCCGTCCGCTGAAGGGTGACGTTCATTGACTCTGGAAGTCCCCTCTCATCTTAACCTTTTCCTTAAGGCATCAGGTTTGTCCAAGTTTTGGAACCAAAGCCCCTGTCCACGAGCTGGTTTCCTGACTTTTTTTCTATCTGACATGAGGGAAGCTGGAAGTCCTAGATTTCCTAAGCACCGACACGCTTCCTGCTATAGGTGGGCTGGTGGACCTGCTCTGAGCCGGCTCTGCCTCCCGTCCTAGCACTGTGCACATGTAATTGATCACCTCCTGGATGACCACAAGGAAAAAAGGTCTGGGAACTATGACAAAGGCTGGAGAGCTCCAAGTAAAAGATGCATCATTCACTTGGCCAACTCTTCGTCACCAAGACATGCCAGTAAAATCAACCACATGGAGTTGTCCTGTGTATGAAAAGCCCTTAGCTTATTGGAACAAATTGGAGAATAGCCATTAGCAAAGTCAAGTGGTTTACAAAGCCCATTAGAAAGAGATCAGTATCTGAGCTGTAGATGTTTCTAT
The DNA here is from genome assembly GCF_000001405.40 of Homo sapiens. NCBI lineage: Eukaryota > Metazoa > Chordata > Mammalia > Primates > Hominidae > Homo > Homo sapiens. The sequence continues at coordinate 7,562,431 of NC_000010.11, forward strand.
TTTCAATCAAATTTCTTTTTAATGAAAACTAATTTTTAAGGGCAAGATACCACAGCAGAAGAAAAACGTCTTGCAAGAAAAGACTTCATGGTTTACAACGATCAAATGTATGGGCTATTTGCCTGATTGGTGGCCTGGACTCAGCAAGAGATTCCTTTGCAGCAGAGGTTGGCCACACATCTGGGGGCTGCAACACCACTGAAAAGACAGCTTTCTAAGCATTAGTGTAAGGCAAAAAGCAGAGTGCCTAAACTTGTCCATTTCCACCAAGAAAAAAAGTTTCATAGCAACCTTCCTTCACCAGAAAGGCTTACTTTATGATATGCTAACAGAACAGAAAAGCAGGTTGGGACAAGATACAGACTTTGTTGCATTTAGCTATGACCCTTCTCTCCCCTCTGTGGATGTGGGCAGGGTGGGGAGAGGCAGGAAGAGGCAGTAGAGGGAAATGACATTTGCACTCAGGCTTCCCGCCCCTACCCACCCCTACCCTTCGCCCAGACAGACGTCGGATCTATGCTGCACCAGGGGTGGGTCATGGAGTCCAGCTAATTGCCAGGAGCTGAGGCGTGTACAAGCCATGAAAAGAGCTGCCCCACGGCCTCCCCACATCACTGTCCTTCATGCACTTGCATCTTTAAGGCTGCCAGCTTCAGAGCTCCCTGGACATTCCCCGGCCAAGTGTCATCCCTGTGTCAAATGGATGGGATGCCAGGTAATCCTTGTACTCCCCGTCAATCAGTTTGGCGGCATTGTTCCTGGCAAACCAGCAGTCTATCTGCTCTTCCCCGTTGTAAATCTTCCTTTGCTTCCAGACCACTGGGACTTGGTGGCCTTTCACTGTTAGGACGGCCTCAGGCCCCTCTCCCACCTGAAGGAGCAGAGGGTGAGTGAGGTTCTGGCTGGGCCCTGCAGGGTCTTCTGTGAGTCTGGCATCCTGATTCAGGAACTGACCTGGGAGGACAAGGAAAAGCATCGGGTCTCAGTCAAATGCAGAAACCTCGTGCTGAACTCCAACTTCAGAGCTATCAGTGGCAGAAAGGCTTACAACTGGCCACAGCCCGAGACTGGACTCTCCCAGTGACATGGAAGAACATGTGCTCTGGGGGGCAGGGTGGAGAGAGCTGAGGATTTATCCACATTGTGGGATTTACCCATGACTGCTGGAAGCTTCCCAGCTGCTAACACTAGAAAGTTGTGTAACCTACACATAGTGATAACCACGGTCTCCTACTGAGTCCAGAGGACAGGACGGGGCATATGAAGAGGGAAGTAGTGTTCCATCTTCTCTCTGTCCTCTTCCCAGTCACAGGCCCGCCTCCTTTCTATCCGTCTCAGGTCTGTGCCGGGTGGGGGTGGAAAGCAGTCAGCTCAGATCCTCTCTGACCCTCGTCCTCAGGACTCTCCTGGTCAGATGGCAGCACTGCTCAGGCCACAGGAATAAAGAGCTGTGTCTGCAAGGGGAGCTCATGCTGGGCCGCCAGGCCCCACGAAACGCGGCCAGCTCAAGAGCCAGGAAATCCTGCCTACTAAACTGAACCCTGACAATGGCTTGCTCTTTATTTTTGGGCAAGGGGCCCACATGAAATTACACGTTGAAGAAAGCTGGGTAGAATGGCCCGCCTGCTGGGCACGGCCACGTGGGTGCCCCCCCGGTGGGGGTGTCGCTCAGGCTGGGCGCTGGGCAGGGCTGCCTCGTGTCTGTGTATTCTTGCTGAGAGCAAAGGAACTGGACCCTCAGGTGACTACATTTTAATTCCTCATTCATTTTTCCAGAAGGCTAAAGAGAACTACTGGTTTATAAAGCCCATTCCTAGCTCACAAAGCCCAGGAAGGAATCTAATTTTCATATTACATATGTAGTAATCTAATGTTCATATTACATATATAGTAATCGAATTTTCATATTACATATGTAATTTTCATGTTACATATATAGTCATGCACCACATCATGACATTTTAATCAATGATGGACTGAAAATATGATGGTGGTCCCATAAGATTATAATAGCATATTTTTAGTGTACCTTTTCTATGTCTAGATATGTTTAGATGAACAAATACTTATCATCGTGTTGCAATTGCCTGCAGTAGTCCATGCAGTCACATGCTGTACAGGTTTGCAGCCCGGGAGCAATAGGAGACACCACATAGCCTAGCTGAGTGGGTAGTATGCGACACTATCTAGAGAGGTTTGTGTAAGGATATTCTAGATGGTCACGTAATGACCAAATCACCTAACGACCATTAGAATGTATCCCTGTCATTAAGCAAGGCATGACTGTGTGTGTCGGTGGGTGTGAATATATATAATATGTACATACATACACAGACTGTGTATGTGTACACACACACATATATACAGACTGTGTGTATATATACACACACACACCATAGACTGTATACATACATACATATATACATACATACACAGACTGTATATGTATACACACACACATACATACATATACAGACTGTGTGTGTATATATATATATATACACACACCATACATACACAGACTGTATACATACATATACATATACACACACGTTCATACATATAGACTGTATACCTACATATATACATATATACATACATAGACTGTATATATATATACATATATACACACATAGACTGTATATATATATATACACACACACACACACATACATATACAGACTGTGTATATATACACACACCATACATACATACAGACTGTATATATAAACACACATACATACACAGGCTATATATATATATATACACACACATACACACACATCATACATACATATATACACAGAGTGTATACATACATATACACATATACACAGACTGTACATATATACACACACCATACATACAGACTGTATATATATATACACACACACATCACACATACAAAGATGGTATACATATATATATACATACACAGACTATGTATGTATATATACACACATATCATGCACACATACATAGACAGTATACATACATATATACACATAGACTGTGTATATATACACACAGACATACATATGTACATATACAGACTGATTATATATTATGTATATGTGTGCATATATAGACTGTATATATACATACTTATCAGTCTGTGTATACATATATACATACAGACGGTATATATAATACATATATACATGTATATTTATAATATATAATACATTATGTATATGTATATATGTATAGACTGTATATATATACACACACATACATATACAGACCATATACACATACATATACAGACTGCATATATAATATATATTATGTATTTATATAGAGAGACTATATACACATATGCAGTCTGCATGTACACATATGCATACATACAGACTATATATAATACATATATACATATATATGTATAGTATATAATACATTATGTATATGTATATATGTATAGACTATATATATGTACACACACACATACATACATACATATGCGGACTGTATATATAATGAAAACCACATTCCTATTGAATTTCTCAATCAAACGAAAGGTGTTGGCAATATCAGCTTTGCTTGGGAAATGTAACTCTGCCCTCTATGCCCAGCGTGAGGAGAGCGCAGCTTCCTACCCAGCAGTCCGTGGCAGTTGCTGGAAAGGCCCTCGCTGTTGGCAATGTAGAAACCCAGGTGGTGTCGCTGGAAGGGCGCCGGCTTTTTGTAGAGGTGGATGAGGATGACAAAGGCTATGGAGCCCTGGATGGTGACGGTGACATTGGCGTTGGCAGACACGGACACCTCCAGCCCCCAGCTCCCCACCACCACACTCTGGTTGCAGGGGAGCACCAGTCTGTCCCCACCATCCAAGATGACTCTGCTCGGTGTGATCTCGAGATAAGATCTCTCTGGCTTGTTGATGAGGATGGTGATAGTGCGCAAGTAAGTGCGCTGTTTCTTGTGGCCATTTGGAGGGGCGGGTGCCCCAATTAACTCTCCGTTCACTGTGACACCTCAAAGGCCAAGGGGAAAAGAAGAAGGTTAGAAAATCTGACCAGGAGTGGTGGCTCACACCTGTAATCCCAGCACTTAGAAGGCCAGGGCAGGTGGATTGCCTGAGTCCAGGAGTTCAAGACCAGCCTGGGCAACACAGAGACCCCATCTCTACTAAAAATAAACAATTAGCTGAGCATAGTGGTGCAAGCCTGTAGTCCCAGCTAGTTCACTTGAGCCCAGGAGTTCCCTTGAGGCCAGGAGTTCAAGGCTGCAGTGATCTGTGATTGCACCACTGCAGTCTACCCTGGGCTACAGAGTGAGATCCTATCTCATTAAAAAAAAAAAAAAAAAGAAGAAGAAGAAGAAGAAGAAGAAAGAAGAAAGAAGAAAGAAGAAAGAAGAAGAAGAAGAGGAAGAGGAAGAGGAAGAGGAAGAGGAAGAGGAAGAGGAAGAGGAAGAAGAAGAAGAAGAAGAAGAAGAAGAAGAAGAAGAAGAAGAAGAAGAAGAAGAAGAAGAAGAAGAAGAAGAAGAAAAGAAAAGAAAATCTATCCCTGCCCAACGCATCAAGTTAGAACTTCCCTCCTCCTTTGGGCTTATCTTTGTATCTCTAGTACCAAAAACATGTCTGACTTACACACAGAGGTCACTCAGTGGTCACCAAGTGAGTGAACAAATGAGGGAATGCGTAAAGTTATGTGCGGATTTTTTACTGTTGTCTGACCAGTATGTTGGGATAGGGGAGAGAGGATGTAGTTTTGGGTCAAGATATCGTAGATGGAGGCATGAAGCTAAGTATTTGTGCATCTACACACAGCTTACCATGTTCGTCTGGTTTCCTTCCAGTGTGGCTGTAGTGATAAGAACTCTTATATGACCCTGATACATATTTTGTACCTACCAGAGGCTGCTGATCCTAATTCGGACATCTTTTATTATTATTATTATTATTATTATTATTATTATTATACTTTAGGTTTTAGAGTACATGTGCCCAACGTGCAGGTTTGTTACATATGTATACATGTGCCCTGTTGGTGTGCTGCACCCATTAACTCGTCATTTACATTAGGTATATCTCCTCATGCTATCCCGCCCCCCTACCCTGACCCCACGACAGGCCCTGGTATGTGATGTTCCCCACCCTGTGTCCAAGTGTTCTCATTGTTCAATTCCCACCTATGAGTGAGAACATGCGGTGTTTGGTTTTCTGTCCTTGCAATAGTTTGCTCAGACATCTTATGATGCCACTGAGCAGTGTGGGAGAATGTAAACTTAGTTGTTGTTTTTTGTTTTGTTTTTGTCCAAAAACTCAAGTTCTTCCACTTAGGTGTTTGTCCTTAGACAAGTCAAAAAAAAACCTGTAATCCCAGTTTCTGGGGAAGCTGAGGCAGGAGAATCACTTAAACCCAGGAGGTGGAGATTGCAGTGAGCTGAGATGGTGCCACTTCACTGCAGCCTAGGCAACAGAGTGAAACTACATCTCAAAAAAACAAAAACCCTGCCTCAATTTCCTTATCTGTAAAATGGATGGACAGATGGAAAACCTAACAGAATTTTTGTGAGGATCCCAGAAGGTAGCATGTGTGTAAGTTGTAAACTGCTATGAAATAGAACTCCTTTTTTTTCTTCATCATTATGAACATCACTGGGGCTTTTCTGGACTTGAGCAAGGCCTGTGAACCAGGCCCCAGGGTTCCGTGCTGTCTGGCTGAATAACAAACAGATGGCGATTGCACTTGAGATGTTTGGGGCTGAATTAGGTGATGCATGTTAAATGTGTTTTGCTCTCAGGCAAAGCAGCAATTTGCAATAAGAAAAGATTGCTATATAATTAACTCTTGTTTTCTCTGCTTTGAGAACAATCTTCCCAGTAATCTTCCCAATAAAACTTCTTAGACATTCAAGGAAAAAAGGGCCTTCTCTGGGGCAAGGGGTCAGGGGAGAGGAGAAATCCCAGCATGAGAAGAGCCTATGCTCTTCCAGCCTCAAAGTTCTAAGCATTTTCAGGCTGAGTTCCCACCACGGACATCTCGCTGAAGACAGAAACCATGGGAACTGCTCCCAGAATAGGAGGTATTTCCAAGGACATATACAGTTAGGCCCCTATCTTGCTCCTGAGCCCTTTGAAATAAGAAACAGTAGAGATTTGGCTCTGAGGCTATAAAGTCCCACAAGAAAACATGTGTTGAAGGAACCCCAGGATCAAACTCTACATAATTGCATCACACATATCACCTGCTGGGGGACCCTGTGCAACCCAACATTCCAAGACACGTTCTCAGCAGTGAGGAAGTGCCGGGGTGCCCACTCCAAAGCTTGTCCTCACAGAGCTGGACATGGTTTGTTACCTGCATCGAACTTGAAAAGCTTTCTCTGTGCTAATCTCTTTCACCCAAGCCCTCTACAGACCAACAGGGGCCACAGAGCCCCTTTGTCCATACATGTTCACGGCACACAGACAGAACTGTGGATTAACATGTGACATCCCATGTAAGTCATCAAGAAACTGACATGAGTTTAGAACCTTGGCCTCCCCGGCATCACAGCTTTTGAATGGATAGACACTATGACAATAATACACAATAATATATTGTGGTTTTCTTTTCTTTTTTTCTTTTTCTTTTTTTTTTTTTTTTTTTTTTTGAGATAGAGTCTTGCTCTTTTCACCCAGGCTGGAGTGCAGTGGCATGATCTCAGCTCACTGCAACCTCTGCCTCCCAGGTTCAAGCGATTCTCCTGCCTCAGCCTCCCGAGTAGCTGGGATTTCAGGTGCCCACCACTATGCCGGGCTAATTTTTTTGTAACTTTAGTAGAGATGGGGTTTCACCATGTTGGCCAAGCTGGTCTTGAACTCCTGACCTCCGGTGATCCACCTGCCTCGGCCTCCCAAAGTGCTGGGATTACAGGCATGAGCCACCGCGCCCAGCCTACATAGCGGATTTCTAAAGCACTTCAGCATTTAAAAAACAACTTCATAACCAGTTTCATTTGATCCATTTTATATTAGCTCTGTGAGGCCAAGAGAGTGTTCCTATCTCCATTTTACAAGGGAAACAACTCCCAAGGCATGTGCCCAAGGTCACACGGCACTTGTCATAAAGCAGGGAGTCGGATGCATAAGTCCAGGAGCGCAGTGCGCTTCCCTTAACCACTGACGATACTCACTGAGCGTCTGTAAGGTGGCCCTTGGATCACTGGACATCCATCTGAAGAACAGAGGGGGATGCAGTACCTACCTGGTCCTTGCCCAGATGCTGCAGCGGAAGGTAGAACTTACCAGAGTCCCTGTGATCAGAGACCAGCCTGAGGATGTCCCCGGGCTGCCCATCAATGTTGAAGCACACGGTGAGTCTGCTCAGGGGGAAATCCACAACAAAGTGGGGATCACCATCCACTGCCAGAGCAGAAGAAAACGGAGAGAAAAAGAAAGACACTTATTCAGTACCTTCCTTGTGTAGGTGCTACTCTCTATTTTCTCATGAATTATTTTATTGAATCCTGAAAACTATTCTGGAAGGAGGTGTCCTCAATTTCCAGATGAGGAAGATGAGTGGGAGGGAAACAACTCCCCAGAATTACCCAGTGAGTTTGCAGTAAACATTTGACTTCAGGTCTTCTAAATTCCAATATAATGCTCCTTTCAACACACCTCAGCTCAGTCTAGACAACTAAGCTTTGAGAGGTGAGAGGAGAAGGAAAGAGAGATCCCCACACACCTTCAACTGGTACTCAGCCCCCATGCTTCCATTTCCCAGGGGGACATCCCTTGCTATTTGCTTTCTCCTTTAATGGCACAGATGCAGAGGACTTTCCTCCCTATGATGGGAGATCTATGGTGCTTCTTCTCCCAGGAAGCCATGGGCTACCCCAGGCTCATTCGCAGCGTCAGCTGTACGCCACCCCTGCACGCAGGCACTGAGAGCCATGCCCAGCTTAGATGCAGAGGCAAGGGAAGCAAAATGCGAGTAGGCGGCCAGGCGCACAGTCAGGGTGCTGGCGGAAACCCCTCCTTTGGGTCACTCCGACTTCACTGCTCTGAAATTTCTGTCCACAGATGAGACCGCAAAGTTCAGCTGACAGTTCTTATCTGTTCTCCTCATTTTCACCTCTGTTAAAGGTGAACAGCCTTGCCTTTTATTATACAGACAGAAGATTTCTTGAGAATCTATATCAATTCTCTTACCAGATTGGAGATTTACCTTCTCTCTAATTTATATTCCAAGTGCAATTTGTTTATTTTATTTATTTTTGAGACAGGGTCCCACTCTGTTGACCAGGCTGGAGTACAGTGGTGCAATCAGAGCTCACTGCAGCCTCAAACTCCTGGGCTCAAACGGTCCTCCCACCTCAGCCTCCTGAGTAGCTGGGACTACAGGCACGTGCCACCATGCCAGGCTAATTTTTTATTTTTTGTAGGGACAGGGTCTCACTATGTTGCCCAGGCTGGTCTCAAACTCCTGGGCTCAAGCATTCCACCCACCTCAGCCTCCCAAAGTGCTGGGATTTCAGGCGTGAGCCACCACACCGGCCTACAACTTGTTTCTCAAATGCCCCTCTGCCTTCTGTGCACATGGACATGTCTGCATGCACGCTGTGCACGGTGTAGGCAGGGGCCAGGCAGAGTCCACTCTTTTTAAGCTGCAGCAAACTAACATCCCTGCATTGACTGCTGAGAAACCCTTTCTGCCCCAGCATCCCTGACACGGGCCCTTGAGAGGATCTGGCTGCTCTCCCTGGGAAGTGCCTCAACTTCCCTGAAAATTGCAACATATGAAGAAATTCAAGGTGCTGGTCTTTTGCTGATGGGGAAAAACTGACCCCCAGAGGAGATCAAAGTTCTCATCCACATTGCTGGCATTTTTCAGGCATGCACGCAGTTGTCTCTTGGTGTCCATGGGGGATTAGTTCCAGGACCCCCGCGGATACTAAAATCCACGCGTCCTCAAGTCCATGACATACAATAGTGTAGTATCTGTATACAACCTTCGCACAGCCTTCCATACACTTTATTTTTAATTTATTCTTATTTATTTATTTTGTTTTTGAGACGGAGGTTCACTCTGTCACCCAGGCTGGAGTGCAATGGTGCAATCTCGGTTCACTGCAATCTCTGCCTCCTGGGTTCAAGCGATTCTCCTGCCTCAGCCTCCCGAATAGCTGGGATTACAGGCGTGCACCACCATGCCCAGCTAATTATTGTATTTTTAGTAGAGATGGGGTTTCACCACGTTGGCCAGGCTGGTCTCGAACTCCTGACCTCAGGTGATCCACCTGCCTCGGCCTCTCAAAGTGCTGGGATTACAGACATTAGCCACTGCACGCAGCCTTTCTATACACTTTAAATCATCTCTAGTTTACTTATAATAATGAATGCAAAGGAGATGCGATGTAAATAGTTGTTACACTACATTGTTTAAGGAACAAAGACAAGAAAAAAAGTCCGTACACATTCAATACAGATGCAATTCCTTTTTCACGTATTTTTGATCTGTTGTTGGTTCGATCCTTGGGATGCGGGACCCATGGAGATAGAGGACAACTGTCTAGCTCATCTGACAGTTTTCTGAGAGTTTCTATGTGCACATACCACACCATTTCTACTCAAATTGTCCAAATTTCTTTACAAGGAAAGATAGTGCTTGCTCCAAAAAAGAGGGGAGGGTCAAAAAGTCATTACTCCAGGCAGCATCCAAGAGGAAGCTTTTCTGGCATTCCATAAAGCCTGTGTGTGTGTGTTGGAAGGAATTACATTCTGTCTCCCGCAGGCTGTGCGGACTCTATATCCACAGCTCATCTCCGGGATGTCCCTGGCTTTAGGAACTTGCACGTACAGCACAGCAGCAGAAAGGCAACAATCAAGACTTCCAGAGGATGATCTGGACACAGCAGAACAAAACCCAGTCATAGGTTGTTCTTTCCTCTGAATTTTTATTATAGTTCCAGGATGCTGGCAAAAGGAAATTTCATGACATTTGAAAAAATCTGTTCTTCCCTTCTGAAGCCACGAACTGAAAAAAATGAAAACAAAAACAAAGCCTGCCTGTCACACCAGACATTTTTATTTTGGTAGCACCATTTTATGTTTATGATAGCAGAGGCTGGAAGGATGCATGCTCCGGATCTCTAAAACAAATGTCTTCTAAACTCAATGAGGGTCAGAATGTGCCTCTGCCACCCATCTATTGGGTGGTGCAATATAGCTCACTGCAGCCTCATCGGGTTTCCTGCCAGGCTTCCTGGGGACTGTGCTATCTCCATGGTGTTTATGGGATGGTTTCATAACAGCTGCACTTCTCAGGCTCTGCCTCACACTGTGGGCTTGATACATTGCTGAATGAGCTGGTATTTTTAACTGGCTTCAAGGAATTCTTGGTTTTACACTTTTTTTTTTTTTTTTTTTTTTTGAGACAGAGTTTCACTCTTGTAGTCCAGGCTAGAGTGTGGTGGCACAATCTCGGCTCACTGTAACCTCAACTTCCCAGGTTCAAGTGATTCTCCTGCCTCAGCCTCCCCAGTAGCTGGAACTACAGGCCCCTGCCACCATGCCTGGCTAATTTTTGTATTTTTAGTAGAGACGAGGTTTCACCATGTTGGCCAGGCTGGTCTTGAACTCCTGACCTCAAGCAATACACCCACCTCGGCCTCCCAAAGTGCTGGGATTACAGGCGTGAGCCAGTACACCTGGCCTGGTTTTACACTTTTTAAACATCTCTTACTCTCAATCCACACACAACCGCATCCTTTGCTTTACCTGATGTTTTAGAGATTTTAATTCTTGGCTGGTATGGCTTCTTGAGCAAAGGTCCTAAAAGGGAGAAGGAAGAGAACATCATGGTCATTCCTTAAAGAAGATGAAGAGAGAGGTGCAAAGGGAGAGAGGAGACATGAGCAAAACACAGCTTTTAGGTACGTTTGTAACAGCTTAAATAATCAAAAGACCTTTAAAACATCATCAGTCTTAAAAAGGGAGCTTGGCCTCAAAACACACAAGCAGAGCCAGGCATGGTGGCTCATGTCCATAATCCCAGTGCTTCCGGAGGCCAAGGTGGGAGGATCACTGGAGCCCAGGAGTTCGAGACCGGCCTGGGCAATATAGTGAGACCCTGTCTCTACAAAAAAAAAATAAATAAATAAAATTAACCCAACAAGGTGGCACACATCTGTAGTCCCAGCTACTTGGGAGGCTGAGGTGGGAGGATCACTTGAGCCCAGGAGATCAAGGCTGCAGTGAGCTGTGACTGCACCACTGCACTCCAGCCTGGTTAACAGAGTGAGACTGTCTCAAAAAAAAAAAAAAAAAGGAAAAAAAAGAATAGAATAGAAACTACACAAGTGGAATGTAAAGTGTGTAGGATTAATTATTTAATTATTGTATGATTTAGATACTATTCTTTTCTGTGATTTTTGTGTATATTATAGGGGAAAATATTTTATCACACTTGAGATGTATTTATAGGGGAAGGGAGAAATGAGCTGTTGTTCAGTGGGCCTGTAGCATTTCAGACGTGCAAGATGGAAAAGTTCTAGAGATCTGTTTCACAACAGTGTGAATATACCTAACATCGCTTACCAGCATTGAACTGTACGCTTAAAAATGGGTAAGGTGGTAAATTTTATGTTCACAACAAAAACAAAAACAAACAATAATGTAATAAAAGAGGTACAGTTATAATCCAGTGTCTGTAGCTATGTGTGCGGCGGAATTTACAAAGCAGAAGATTTTGAAACACTTTGTATTTCAAAGTACTGGTGCTTTGAATAAATATTCAATGAAAGAATAACCTAAAAGTAATTAATATCTATAAATAAAATCAATATCTTACGTCAAATTGTTAGTACTAGGTAAAATTGTGCTCCTCTTCTCTGGTTTTTATTGCTCACAGAAATTAAAGAGTGAGATATCTAAAGGTTCTTGAAGTACTCCCTTCTCAATACTGGTCTTGACCAGCGTGATCTGGGCAGAATGTAGATTAGCCAGGAAAGAGGATGGATGACTGGATGACTGATTTGAGGAGTGGCAGCTGCCACCAACTCTCAAAAAAATTAAAATTTAAATTTAAAAACCATCAGAGCTTTAAGGAAAGGAAGAATCTTCATTTAAAAAACAAAAAACAAAAAACCGGCCGGGCGCAGTGGCTCATGCCTGTAATCCCAGCATTTTGGGAGGCCCAGGTGGGCGGATCACAAGGTCAGGAGATTGAGACCATCCTGGCTAACACGGTGAAACCCCATCTCTACTAAAAATACAAAAAATTAGCCGGGCGCGGTGGTGGGCACCCGTAGTCCCAGCTACTTGGGAGGCTGAGGCAGGAGAATAGCGTGAACCTGGGAGGCAGAGCTTGCAGTGAGCCGAGATAGCACCACTGCACTCCAGCTTGGGCGAAAGAGCGAGACTCCATCTCGGAAAAAAAAAAAAAAAAAAAGCAAAAAAAAACCCTTTCGAGTAGTCAGTTGGTTATCTCCTCCTCTGTCTTTCTGGCCCCCCGAGTCTTGTATGGTCCAGATCCGATCTCTCCTGAAGCTGTGGAGATTTGCGCTGATGACCTAGCATCAAGATCTTATTCAGAAAGCCACTTTTCCTGGATGTGGCATGGATCTCATAGGTAGAAAGTGATAGCATCCTGCCACATGCTTTTAATCACAACAAAAATTGTGTACGTTTTGCCAAGACAAGCTCCACGCTTTCTGAAATAGCCATGTCAATTGCAACCTCGCTATCAGGGTCCGAACTTTTCAATACATTTCTGGTATTCCGTGCCTCCACGGAAGGCGTGTCTGACATTTGTGCAAAACTCACTGTGTGCCCACGGCATTCCATATTTAGTTCTTACAACAGCCCTGCAGGGAAATTATGATTATCTCCGTGTTCAGGGCTGGGGAGTGGGAATGGAAGCTCAGAGAGGTTGAGAAACCTGCCTCAGGCCTCACAGCTGGTCAGGAGGGTTGGTGAATCCTAACTGCATGCTTTCTCCACACCCAGGTCCTTCTAAGACTTTAGAGTGTGAGGAATAAATGGGACAGCATTGGTGGGGTGCAGAGTAGGGTCCGACCAAACTCAGTTTCCTCTCCTAGGAGAGAGAACTTGACAGGAGCCCAGTAAAAATGTGATGCATGTGAAACGCGATTTTCCACACGCAGATCTGCCAGGAATACAATGCCCTGCTTTGGTTTCACTGTGTTTCCTTTCTCTTGTTCTCGTCTCTACTCATCCCCGCAGCAGAATGGCACCGGGACTGACTGTGCCTGCTTCTGTTCAGATTCTCAGAGACTGACATGGAAAGACCGGATTCTTGCAAGAATCCGTACCTTGGTCCTTCCCACATGCTCTCGGGGAAATAAAATCAAGCACACAATTAAATTATACTACATAACTCTGAAGTGCTTGAAAATATAGAAAGGCACTGAAAAATGGGCACTGGTATGTTCATTTCAGTGCTTCCGCCCATGCCTGAAACCTGGCAAGCACTCAGTTTATTGATGCTTTATTGATGGACTGACTTCACTAGGTGACATTTCTGAACCAAATGCCACCTTTTTCTCATTTCTCTAGACAGCCACAGTGTATAGTAATGCACATACAACAGTCTACAATACTCCCTGAAGATTATGAGCTGTATATAGTGTTATTGCTTTTTGGTTGGTTGTTTTTTTAGAGACGGGGTCTTGCTCTGTCACCCAGGTTGGAGAGCAATGGTACGATCATGGCTCACTGCAGCCTCAAACTCCTGGGCTCCAGTGATCCTCCTTCCTCAGCCTCCTGAGTAGCTGAGACTACAGGCATTCCACCATACATAGATAATTAATTTTTTTTTCTTTTGTAGAGACAGGGTCTCTCTGTGTTGCCCAAGCTGGTATTGAACTCATGGCCTCAAGGGATCCCACCTCAGCCTCCCAAAGTGCTGGGATTACAGGTGTGAGCTACTATACCCGGTCTGGGTTATTGTTTATAAGTATTATAGCAAGATGGAATAACACAGCTTCCTGCTGGGGCTTCCTGTGGAGGAGGTGAGTGGTATCTCAGGCCCGCGTCCCCCACACCTGGCTGGCACAGGTGCCTCGTACCTGGCTGCGTGCCAGCTCCTCGCACGCTCTGCACCACCGGTTCGGGTCCCATGGCAGCCGACATGCCGTGGGCCTCCTCCAGGCCATCCATGCGTGGGACCGGCCCCCTCAGCTTCATGGAGGTGAAGGGAGTGAGGAAGCGGTAGCTCACAGCCAGGGCCTGGGCCCGCTGCCGCAGCCGCTCCTTCTCCGGTTCATCGTCACTTTGCAGCCAGGAGCTCAGCAGCTCCTTTGTGGTGAGGTAGCTCCAGAGACGCTCGATGTGGTTGGTGTCCCCCTCTCCATCGCCTCCAGGCCTGGGGCTTCCTGTGACATCTTTCCCTGCCTTCTGAGGCCGCACAGGCACATCTGTCTTCAGGATGATGAATTTCTTACTGTTGCTGGCGGTGACCTCCACGTGCAGGTGATCCAGCTTCCTGTCCACCAGCTTCCCCGCAATGATGATCTCCGAGCCGTTGAAGTAGTTGGGGAACAGGGTCTTGGTGGCCTGCACCACTGAGCTGGGGGGATAATCGATGCGGATGTCAGAGAGGAGCGGGGTCCTGATTTCATCGTAGAACCTGCAGTGGAAGCACAGGGAGGGAGGGAGATCAGGGCCCTGCTCTGACAGCAGGCAGGACAGTCCTAAAGGAAACTGCAGACTCTCAGGGGGATGCATCTGATTTTAGAAGCAATTGAGTCCAACATGGCACCCCACACAATATTTCTGCCAGGAGATCACTAGGCAGCAGGTTGAACACCATTGGTGAGAGGGAATGCATTCTCTCACGCGGCTTCTGAGCTGTTTTTCAACCACTCTCATGATGAGAAAAAACCTGCTTATAGTAGATTAAAATCTTCCTCCCTGAAATTTCCACCCACTGGTTTCAGTTTTGCCTCTGGAACAATATCGAATTAGTGTAATCCATTTCAACAGACATTTGGATGCTTAAAAAACAATGCTGTGCATTCCTTTAAGCCCAGTCAATCCCCAGTTTCATGAACTATTCTTCCTGTGATACAATTTCAAGATTCCCTCACCAGTCTTGGTAAATTTCCTTTGTGTACACTTACGTTTCTTAAAGGGACTCTTAAAAACCTTTTTCTTAGAACCAAATACAAATTCCAGATGTGCTTTAAGCAGCGCATTCTACTTCAGAAACCTGACTTTCGTGAGTTTGTGCGTATAACATTTGCTTGCATTTGCTTTCCTTGTAGTTAAGTTGCATGGTCGCTTCTTGCTAAGTAAGGAGACAATTAAAATTCCCTTTCAAAAGGCCTAGAAACCATAGGCTGTGGAGTTAGACTTCCATCTCTGTTGCTTCCTTGCTGTGTGTCTTGGGACATGTGACTTAACCTCTCTGAACTTGAGTTTCCTTATCTAGAAAATCAGGATGTAAACAGTACTTCTTTGGTCACCTACTAGCTGTCCCTGAAAGTCCATTTTCCCCTTCTTTCATGAGAATTGAGCTCCGGCCATCCAGCTACAAACTACATTTCCCAGCCTCCATCGAGGCCACAAATGGCTATGTGACTATGTCCTCCCAATGGAATATGGGTAGCAGTGAGATGTGCAACTTCTCAATATTTGCTTACAATCCATGCTGGCTTTCTTTTCTCTCTCCCTTTTTGCGGCTAGAAAACAAGAGTGATAGTGACTGAATTTCAATCCTGTAGCATTAAGGACAACACCTGAGGGAAGCAGAGCAATAAAACAGAAGGAGCTTGGGTCCCTGAATGACTTCTGGGAGCAGGATCTAGCCTGTTACCATTACAGGAGAGGGAAGGAAATGGCTATCTTATTTCAGCCTTTGCCTTTCATCATCTCTGTATTGCAGCTTAGCCTTTACCCTAATACACCTACCTCCTAGGATTTCTGTGAGGATCATCTGGGATGATGCACATCGAAGTTCCTGGTGTATCATAAGTTCTCATAAATGCCAGGTATCGATCATAGTTTCAGTGGGATGGCAGTGCAGCTGACTTGTTACAGCATAACTGCTTTTGCTTCTGAATGCCTTATTGAATTTCAATTCTGTTATCCAGTGTATCAGATTCTCCCCTTTGACTCTAGTTTTGAATAATTTTTAAAATGTGGAAAGCAAATCTGTGTTTTCATTTAAATCTTTCATTAAAATGCGTGGGAGGAAACGGTGGCGAATCCCAAACCGAGGACCTGTCTTTACTGCACACCTTAGGTGTCTCCATTTCCATTTATCATTAATAAATGTGCTTTGACTATGGCTATTAAACACCTATAAATCTACCCAAACCTCCCCTTTGCTTTTAAGTAGATACCACATATGCCACGATGCAGATTAAAGCACCTCACGCTGAACTGGGAGCTGGCACTTCACTCAATGAACAGCAAAGGAGCAGACTGATGCGTGGCAACATAATATCGGAGGGAAGCTATTTCTGTTTTAAAAGATCTGAGTTTTCTCCATCTCTCATTTAAAAGATCTCATTTATTCTCCACCTCAAAATAATCTGATTATTTAACAGTTTTATCTGATGGTTTTGCTTCCAAATAAAAGTATCTTTTAACTAGTACTCAAAATGAACATAACAGTACTCTGCTACTTGCTCACAGGGTAGAATAAAAGTAAACTTACTAGAAAGTGCTTTGAAATATCAGGATGTCAATGAACTATGAGAGCTCATTAAATACTTAATATGGGATGGCCACTGTGCCAGTGCTATACATAGTGTTTTTATATAGCGATTTTCTCATTAAATTCTGCAACCAACCATAATCCTCATTTTACAGATGAGAAAACGGAGGTACAGACTGTCTTAAAATCTTGCTTAGGGCCGGGTGTGGTGGCTCACGCCCATAATCCCAGTACTTTGGGAGGCCAAGGCGGGCAGATCACCTGAGGTCAGGAGTTCGAGACCAGCCTGACCAACATGGAGAAACCTTGTCTCTACTAAAAATACAAAATTAGCCAGGCGTGGTGGTGTGTGACTGTAGTCCCAGCTACTCAGGAGGCTGAGGCAAGAGAATTGCTTGAACCCAGGAAGCAGAGGTTGCAGTGAGCTGAGATCACGCCATTGCATTGCAGCCTGGGCAACAAGAGCGAAACTCCATCACAAGAAAAAAAAAAAAAATCTTGCCTAAAGTCATAAAGGAGGATCAGAATTCGAACTCTGATCTGCCTAGTTTCAAAACACATGGTGACACCTCCCATTGCAATGAGCTATGATCGTTGTCAGCAGATGCAAGGCTGGGGTGCAGCAACACACTCCTCTCTGAATTCCCACCGCAGCCACCCCTCAGCCCCTCAAACAGCCTCTCATGCCTACGAAGACAGACCACAGACCCGATGAGCTGCGAGCCTGCGTCCTCCTCCTCGTGCACGCGCCGTGTGAGGCCACAGTTCTCCAGCGACAGTTTCTCCAGCAGCCTGAAGTCCACGTCGTTGCCGATGCCAATGGTGAAGATGCAGACTTGGCCTCGGGCGGCCTCTCGGGTGTTGTTGAGGATCTTGAGGGTGTGCGTCTCCCCGACCGTGGGCTTCCCATCCGTCAGGAAGACGATGAGGGACACGCTCCGGTCTCCAATGCCACTGTGGGCCACGTACTTGTTGAGGAGCCTGATGGCCCTCTGCAGGGCCCCGTTGATGTCTGTGCCTGCAGGACACCAACACGGA
Organism: Homo sapiens; assembly: GCF_000001405.40. Lineage (NCBI taxonomy): Eukaryota > Metazoa > Chordata > Mammalia > Primates > Hominidae > Homo > Homo sapiens. Next base: position 7,580,085 of record NC_000010.11, read on the forward strand.
ACAGCTCAAGCCTCTGCACTCACCTCCGCACTCTGATTGCACTTTCTTTTTTTTGAGACGGAGTCTTGCTCTGTCACCCAGGCTGGAGTGCAATGGCGCAATCTGCACTCACTGCAACCTCCGCCTCCCAGGTTCAAGCGATTCTCCCGCCTCAGCCTCCCGAGTAGCTGGGATTACAGGTGCACACCACCACATCTGGCTAATTTTTGTATTTTTAGTAGAGATGGGATTGACCATGTTGGCCAGGCTGGTCTCAAACTCCTGACCTCAAGTAATCCGCCCACCTTGGCCTCCCAAAGTGCTGGAATCACAGGCATGAGCCACCATGCCCAGCCTGAATGCACTTTCATAGCTGCAGTTCACGCTCAACCACCCAAATGCTCACAGGAGTGAGGTGTTAAGGGGCCATCCAGAAACTTGCTAAAAGCAAGTGCATTTACTAAATGCATATAAGTGAATGGGGATTATCCCACTGTAACAAACCTTCTCCAGAAGGCATGTGGCGACGCCTTAGCTTACCTGAGCTTCAATGGCTTCTGTGCCCTCTTCTGAGAATGGCTTTGAAAAGAGCAGGAAGGTGTTGAGCATAGAAGACAGCAGGAATGTGGAGGGAGAAAGAGCCGCAGAGGGGAGGAGGGGCATGGAACGAAGAGGAGGAGGGTAGCTGCTGACATCTCAGATGCCTTCCAGTGTTGTCTAGGGCTAGGTGGAGCTGATGAAAGAATGAATTTGTTGCCTTCATCGTCTCTCCTTTCTTTGCTTCCTGTCCCTTCAGATCACCTCTGCTTGCCAGAACCCCACAGAGAAAGGAGCCATGAAATATTTCTCCTCCTGGCCACCCTTTTTCCTTCAGAGGCCCTTGTCAGCAACAGCTCTGATTAAAGTTGGAGGCCAGCCAGGCACGGTGGCTCATGCCTGTAATCCCAGCACTCTGGGAGGCCAAGGTGGGTGGATCACCTGAGGTCAGGAGTTCGAGACCAGCCTCGCTAACATGGCAAAACCCTGTCTCTACCAAAAATACAAAAATTAGCCGGGCATGGTGGTACATGCCTGTAATCCCAGCTACTCGGATGGCTAAGGTCAGAAAATCACTTGAACCCAGAAGACGGAAGTTGCAGTGAGCCAAGATCGTGCCATTGCACTCCAGCCTGGGAAACAGAGTGAGACGCGGTCTCAACAGAAAAAATAAAAATAAAATAAATAAATGAATAAATAAAATAAAGTTGGGGGCGAAAGGGAAGAAAAATTTTATCAGGAATATGTGGCTTAGAAAAACCATACGAAACAGAAAACAAATCTCAACTCTGAGAAATGATGGAACAATAAACACCAATGACATTAGCAGGCATCTGTGGACAGCAGGAGGTTTTTCTCTCCTTTTTTTCTTTTGATGATTTTCTTTATTCCTCAAATGTTTTAGAATAGATACTTCCATGGAAAAAATGGTGTGAGAACATGAGCAGGCTTCTGGAGTTCTAAATGTTCTGTTTCTTGATCTGGGTCCAGGTTCTGTTCAGTTTATGAAAACATATCAAGTTGTACACTTACTACATGTACATTTTTCTGCATGTATGTTACACTACAGGTTACTGCTTCCTTTAAAAAGAATGTTCCCATGTTTTCTTTTCTTTTCCTTCTTTTTTTTTTTTTTTTTTTTTTTAGAGACAGGGTCTCACTATGTTGCCCAGGCTGGTCTCGAACTCCTGGGCTCAAGCAGTTCTCCCACCTCAACCTCCCAAAGTGCTGGGACTACAGGCATGAGCCACCATGCCCGGCCACCCATGTATTTTTTTTTTTTTTTTTTTTTTTGAGATATAGTCATGCTCTTTCGCCCAAGGTGGAATGCAGTGGCGTGATCTTGGCTCACTGCAACCTCTGCCTCCTGTGTTCAAGCAATTCTCCTGCCTCAGCCTCCCGAGTAGCTGGGATTACAGGCACACGCCACCATGCCTGGCTAATTTTTGTACTTTTTTAGTAGAGACGGGTTTCACCATGTTGGCCAGGCTGGTCTTGATTTCCTGACCTTGTGATCTGCCCGCCTCGGCCTCCAAAGTGCTGGGATTACTGGCAGGGGCCACAGCACCTGGCCCCATGTATTCTTAAATTTACTACTTTATGATTAAAATAAATCAGACAATTTAAGTTTGGGAGCAAAATAAATAAATAAAGTTGGGGCCTGTGTCTTTGATAGGAGCTGAACAAGTATTTGTTTGGTGGATGGGGAGACAGGTGGTTGGGTGGTTGAGGTTGAAACCCCAGCTACAGTGAGGTTTCTGGGTTAGCTAAGAATTCCACTGGACTAAGCTACCAACATCCCACCATTACCAAGTAAAGCAGAGACCTTACTGTAGTGTGAACACCTATTTCCTTTGTTTTTTTTTTAAAATGGCTTAAGATAAAATCTACATACCAAAAGATCACCCATTCTAAGTGTCCAATTCATGATTTGTAGTAAATTTAGAGTTTGATGACCATCACCACCATCCATCATCCTGACTGGAGTGACTTTTCTCTACCTGCAAATTTTACCACATTTGTGGTACATATATACCATGGGGCACTATTCAGCCACAAAAAAGAATGAGATCTTGTCATCTGCAACAAGATGGATGGAACTGGAGCTCATTATATTCAGTGAATTAAGCCAGGCACAGAAAGACCATCTTCCCATGTTCTCGCTTATTTGTGGCAGCTAAAAATTAAAACGATTGAACTTATGGAGATAAAGAGTAGAAGGATGGTTTCCAGAGGCTGGGCAGGGTAGTGGGGGGTGGGGCAGAAGTAGGGATAGTTAATGGGTACAAAAAGAAGTTAGAAAGAATGAAGACGATCTAGTACTTGGTAGTGCAACAGGGTGATTATATTCAATAATAATTTCATGATACACTTAAAAATAACTGAGTATAATTGGATTGTTTGTAACAAAGGACAAATGCTTGAGGTGATGGATATCTCATTTATCTGATGTAATTATCACACAATGTATGCCTGTATCAAAATACCTCATATACCCCATAAACACATATACCTACTCTGGACCCACAAAAATTAAAAATTAAAATTAAAATGTACCGCATCTGAGAGAACCAGATCATCTCCCCCACGGCTTAACATCCTCCAGATTTTCTAGCTAAAAAAGTAGATAAGGCTATGTCCATGACCAAATGTTCATAATTCTTGCTAAGATGCAGAGCCCAAATGGAAAGAAAGTTATTTTACATTTTATTGGAATCACTAATTTGCCTTTCTTTTGTTTGTTTGTTTTTGAAACAGAATTTCACTCTGTCACCGGGGCTGGAGTGCAGTGGTGCGATCTCGGCTCACTACAACCTCCGCCTCCCAGGTTCATGCAATTCTCCTGCCTCAGCCTCCCCAGTAGCTGGGACTACAGGCGCAAGCTACCACGCCCAGCTGATTTTTTTGTATTTTAGTAGAGATGGGGTTTCACCATGTTGCCCAGGCTGGTCTCGAGCTCCCGAGCTCAGGCAATCCACCCGCCTTGGCCTCCCAAAGTGCCAGGGTTATAGGTATGAGCCACTGCGCCTGGCCTAATTTGCCTTTCTTAAGGTCCAGTCTAATTTCTTAGTGCCCCTGGATGTGTGAACAAGGATGAACTGGCATTTTTTTCTCTTGTCTCTATTCAGCAATGGTGCCAAATCTCTCACTCCACTTTAAAGCCAAGGAGAGCACAGGCAGAGGGACGGATTAGCTTTCCCGATGGCACACAGCCACCAGAGGCCCTGCAGGGATTGGTATCAAGCCCACAGCAACTGGGGCATCTCCTTCCCACTGAAAACAGACAGGAGCTGTCATCAAAGGACTCACAAGCACCAGCGAGAGGGGTTACCTGAGTGGGTGAAAATAATGGCCACATCTGATGCTTAAAGAGGACTTCCTATGTGCCAGGACCATTCTAACCACTTGAAATGCTTTAACTCACTCCATCCTGGTAACGATTCCATTGTTATCTTCATTCTACAGATGAGGAAACTGAGGCACAGAGAAGATGGAGCTGGATTCAAACCCAGGCAGTCTGGCTTCCAAATCCATGCTCACAATCCTGATGCTACACGTCTTAGAGAGAAGCAGGCTGATCTGCTGTTCACCTGCAGAGGCTAGGGCAATGCAGTTCAAGAAAAATAAAGGAAACCCACAGGGTTTCTAAGGCTTGGAGTCCAAAAGAGCATAACATACACCAGCCATTTTCTTTCTTTCTTTTTTTTTTCTTTTTTTTTTTTTGAGACAGAGTCTCGCTGTCACCCAGGCTGGAGTGCACTGGCATGATCTTGGCTCACTGCAACCTCTGCCTCCCAGGTTCAAGCAATTCTCCTGCCTCAGCCTCCCAAGTAGCTGGGATTACAGGCACCCGCCACCACACCCGGCTAACTTTTTGTATTTTTAGTAGAGATGGGGTTTCGCCATGTTGGCCAGGCTGGTCTTGAACTCCTGACCTCAGGTGATCCACCTGCCTCGGCCTCCCAAAGTGCTGGGATTACAAGTGTGAGCCACCCCACCCGGCCCAGCCATTTTCTAAAGCTGTTTATTACTCCATGGCCCCCACTCCACCAGCACACACACATCATTCTGCTAGTAAGCAGGGCCATTAAAATAAATCCAATCTACAAATATCCATTGAGCATGCCCTCTGTGTTAGGAACTGTGCATGGAGGTAGGAGCTATGTAAACATGAAGAGAAATCTGTTCCTTCAAGAATTTTATGGTGTTGTGGACTTCCTGCCGTAGAGCATCACTATCATATTAAATCTAATCTTCTATTTCTCCCATCAAACACCAAAACAGTTCCTAGATTATACTGTTTGGGAGGCTAGTAGGAAATCCCAGTGTAAATGGAAAGTACCAGCCCAGCAAGATCAAGTTCCACATTAAGTTCATTTGGGAAATGAGGGCTTTGTCTTGGACTGGGAAACCATGAATATAAGAAAGATGGAAAATCCCAGATGGGAGAAGACTGAACAGAGTGTTTTGTATGTTTCCAGATAACTGAAGTGGAATTAACCAGGAGGTGGTGTCTCTGTACAGAGCCTGAAAGGAAGGGGGAGGGAGTAGGTCAAGTTCTGCTAAATGCTCCAATACTGAGCACCTCTTCTGTGTCCACTGTACTGTTGATACAGGGAATGGCAAGAGTAAGGCGCAGGTCCTGAGTTGGGAGAACTTAACATCTAGGACAGCTGGTAACACACTGCTCTGATTCTCCACTCTTCTCAGAATTTTTATGATCTTTTCTCTCCTCTCTTAACATTCTGCACCCTTACCTGGGCAACACCCAAGACAAGCGTGCAGTGGCTGAGAGCCCACATCCTCCCCATCACATTTTACCTCCGCAACCCTCCCGGGCCACCAGGATACCTGTTTCACTCTGCTGCAGCTCTACCAAGAGGGCTCCTTGTTTTGCAAAGCAGTTCCACCTGCCCCTGCCCAAGGTGCGCACGAAACACTGGCTGGTCCACGTGGCTGTAATTCTCCACCCCAAAACCGTTTACAAAAACAGTATTGTTTTTGTATCAGCAAGACTTTTTCTAACAGGATCCATGAGATGAACCAGGCAAGCCTCCAAACACCTATCAGGTTATTTTCCCCCAGAACTTCACCAGCTTCACTTGTAGACTGGGAAAGGAGAGTACGGATTTGGTATTCCGAGCAACCTAAGCTGCT